>NC_000007.14:118870415-119173445 GCF_000001405.40 Homo sapiens
GTGTGTAAGAAACCTCCAGTAGGGGGGGTTGAGTACACAGGGAAAAGCTCAGACACAGAGACTAACCGAAAATGGGAAACAGAAATTTTAGGCCTAAGGAACAAATGAAAGAGGTAAGTAAAAAGACCCCCTCTGACATTCTCCCAGATAGTCTGTTGGGGAGAATGTTGCAGGTTTGAAGGTATAATCCTCAAACCAGGGACAAGGAAAATCAAAAGATGATGAAGTATTGCTGTTTTATCTAACTCAGAAAGCCCATTTATCAGCCTTTGGTCTTTTGGCCTAAGTTTGGCTCAGATGAAGATTGGGTGTGTGAAGCTTTAATTCTCTATGTCAATGATAAAATTCCATTCTCACAAGAGGAGATGGGTTATGCTCTTTGTTGGTTTGTTGGATTAGTGAACTAGCCCCATATTCCCCCTTAAAGAGGAAGAAAAAGCAGAGTAAGGAGCGCTTGTCCAGTGAAAAGCCCTGGGATCCCCTAACATGGTACCCCCTCACTGCACATACATCTCACAAAGTAGAGGACAGGTAGATCAGGGGGCAACAGGAAGGCCGGAGGAAAAGGAATCTGGGGGTCATGAAGGAGCTAAACCCAGTCTTGCCTTAAATACTTATCCAAACTTGAGGAAAGAATTAAAACAATGTAAGAAGGACATTGAGAATTTCCCTCTTCCTTCTAAACAGCAGCTGTCTAACATGTACGCTCTTAGAGAAGTCCCTATGGGGCAGGGAGAAGTTGGATTTGTGAGTGTGCCTTTAACAAGTACGAAGGTTAGGAATTTTAAAAACAAAATGAGGCCACTCTTGGAAAAACCCCTCAGTTTAGCAGCTAGATCAATTTTGAGGACCCAATTTTTATACTTGGGCTGAGACAGTGTCAATCATGAATGTTCTGTTTACTGGGGGAGAGAGGGGAATGATTATAATAGGGCAGCCGTGACCATTTGAGGGAGATAGCATCTTCTGGGGCAAAGAGTCCTGCCAGCTGAGCAGAAATTCCCAAATGCAAATCCCAGTTGGGATAACAATAACCCCAGAGATCGGATCTAAATGCAAGATCTTAAGGAGCTAATAATAATTAGAGGAATTAAAGAGTCCACTCCTAGGACATAGCATGTCTCGAAAGCATTCAAGATCCAGCAAGAAAAAGATACTCCCTGTGCATTTCTGCAGAGGCCCAGGGATCAAATGAGAAAATATTCAGGATTAGATCCGGAGGACCCAGTTGGGCAAGCCCTTTAAAAGGTTTATTTTGTGATGAAAAACTGGTCATAATCGCTGCAGACAATTTTCGTTGGTTATAGATGATGATACTTATTATCCATTTCAATCATAGCTTATTCTCTTGCTGCGTTTAACTGCATTACTCCCCATGGTTTTGCTAAGATGATACAAAACTAAGTAATTTAATTAATGTCAATTCATGACTAGTTAGTTCAATCTAAACTAATTTGTTTTTTACATTCCTGACTTATGTTTGGCTGCTAAGAAATGATAGCTTAAATGCGTCTAAGATAAGAGCAGGGATTTTGTGAATAATGAATATAGAGTTTGCCAGAGTTGAGAGCATATATATTGTGAGAAACAAAATCACCCATCCAAACTGAAAGAATGGACTTAAAGAACAGTGAAAGTGAGACTTTTAATGACAGTCTTGCAAGATCGGGTGTCTGATAGGCGGGCACACCCAGCACGGTCACAACAAGCAGTTTATCCTCTAGTGCGCAGGTTTCTCTTGCATCATGAATTGCTACAGATTATTGTCTTTCAGTTTCAGTGGGGTGATTAAAGTTAGTTTTCATCTCTTAAAAATAATTTCATATTAATCACCTTGCACAGTTTCTGGTATGTAGAAAGGGAGAAATAAACATTAATATTTTATTATCATTACTTATATAATATTTAAACGATTAGCCATATAAAGCTTAGTAAGAGGGCTATGAAAAAAGTATAAAGGACAAATTATTATTATCTGTGCAAACTTCGCATAACTTTTCCATGCTATCTCTAACCTTTTTGATGAACACTTTTAGAAATTAATTGATGTAATGTGTTTGCTGCTAAGTAATGAAAGCCTCCTACTGGGTTAGGTTTTTGTTTATTTATTTTTTGACTTTTTGGCTGTTATAGGTGTCATTTAGAATTTGGTTAGCATTTACGTAAGAAATTTATATGTCACTGCTGGATATATACCCAAAGGAGAGGAAATCAGTATATCAAAGAGATAAGTAAATATTCTTAAGCAAGAATTCCTGAAATGGCTCAGTGAGGAATATCCATTTTCTGGGCATGTTGTGACTCACAGGCAGCTTGTTAAGTCCTGCCAGCTGAACAGCCAGTCTTCAAATAACCATCTTCTTTCACGGTGTGTCAGACGTTTATCTTCTTCCTACCTGGCTGACCTTGCCACATGTGTTTCACAATACACCCTTGTTTCTGTTACAGCCAAATATTTATTCACCCACCTTGACTTCCTTTTTGCTTCTTTTACTGGTCAATATCCAGCTGCCCATTGCTTTCACCTCACTTTAAGTAGTTGCAAGTAGTGTTTATCTGAATTTTTTTTTTTTTTTTCTGATTCAGATTCAACCCAAATCTGTATTTTGTGACTTTTGGACTTTGAAATTTGATTCCAGCCACCAACTTCCATGCAGTCTTTTCACAGAACTCTCTAAGAGGAATTTCTTCAAAACACATTGCTGATTTTATTTCATGACTCTTCAAGCTCTTGATTCATTCCCTTTTTTCTATTGTTACTTTTTAGACTTAATGGTTGCATTTATTTTTGTTATTAATATATCCACAGTCAGAAGGCAGGAAAACTATATCCAATTCCCAGCGAGTGGATGTTCACTGACATCAGACTAAGTCTCCTTTTAATGATTATTTATCCTATCTGAGTTTGGAGAAGTGAGAATTTAATAAAAGGAGCATGGAAGAGAGAGAGTCTATACAAGACAGTAGCCTCCTACCTGGTGAATAAAGCAATTACCTCAACTACATGTATGTTTTTCTTATATGCCACATATCCATGGGTTTATCAATACAGAGATGCTTCAAAGTCAATTTGTAGAAATAATCTGTTAGTCATGTAGATATGATAAACTAGCAGATATTTTAGTGTGGCTATTGTCCATATCAAATTTTAGTAGGAGAATATTGAGGAGTTCTGCTTCTGATGAAAAACCTATGTGTGATTTTTAGGCCTGACCAGATGCAGCTACAAAGACTTTATTTGACAGGCCTCACCAGGGAAACTGCCCTACCCACACCAGACTCGGTGCCCAGTGAAGGGTACTGCATTCTCTGAAGGGAGTTGCAGTCAAGAATACAGGCTCTCTTTGCTGGTCATAATCTTTCACATATTTGCATTTTTAGTTTGATGCTTCATCTGAGGCCATTAGCAAAGGTACTCTTCAGGTGTTTCCAGGGGTCTCTTTTTAGAGGAGAAGGGAGAAACCTTAAGGATACTTTCCCAGACTGATTCAGTAATCAGTACTTTTCCATTCCTAGCTTCAAACTCACCCCCTTCCCACCTTCCCTCTAGCCCCACTCAAATCCAAAAAACTGACAAATACTTT
Organism: Homo sapiens; assembly: GCF_000001405.40. NCBI lineage: Eukaryota > Metazoa > Chordata > Mammalia > Primates > Hominidae > Homo > Homo sapiens. Next base: position 118,874,000 of record NC_000007.14, read on the forward strand.
TGTTTGTAGATCCCTGAAGAGTGAGACAATCCCTATGTTTGCTTTCATCCTCCTGACTCTCACTCTGTGTGACATTCTATGGGGGAAAATGGAGCAGGGGAAGTGAGCATTTCTTCTGGTTTTAGACTCTTGCTTACACCATCACAGTAAGGGACTAAAGACTGAACTCTTTATTTATGGCTTGTTTCTTTGATTGGTGACTTCGACACCAGACAGCTCAGTTCTGTCTCTCCCAGCCCAGCTGAGCTCCTGACAGATACATGTGTAGAAAATAAAAATAACATCTATTTTTCTAAAATTAAATAATTAGTAATTAGTTTTTGTATTTCAAAAAATATGTCTAAATAAAGTAGCCTATATTTTGATTGAACCTTTTTAAGTCACTTATATTTTCTAAATTAAATAATTTATAATAATTTTAATTTTCAGTAACATAAAAATAATTTTGTATAAAAGAGATTCCCTTTGTTAACTAAGCTAAGCTGGTGATTTCAAAATGAAGCTAATTAAATACAATTCACAGTTGATTTAGGATTCTTAGATTGCTAATGAAAATACAGCATCTCAAGTCCAAAAATATGAAATCCAAAATGCTCCAAAATCTGAAACTTTTTGAGTGCTGACATGACTCTACAAGTGAAAACTTTCACATCTAACCTCATGTGACAGGCTGCAGTCAAAATGCAGCCAAAACTTTGTTTTATGTGCTAAATTGTCAGAAATATTTTATAAAAATTACCCTCAGACTATGTGTATAAGGTAAGTACAAATATAAATAAATTTTGTGTTTAGATTTGGGTCCTGTTCCCAAGATATATCATTCTGTATATGCAAATACTCCAAACTCAAAAATAAATAAATAAATAAATAAATAGATAGATAGATAGATAAAAACAGAAACACTTCTTGTCCTAAGTGTTTTGGATAAGAGACACTCAACCTGTATTGCTATCACAAATGAAGGAAAACAAATAAATGTACAAAAAGTTAGCTTCTCTCACAAATTTTATTTTATTTTAATAAAGCTTCAAAAATTATAAATAATGTCTAAGCAGATTTAGAATCTCAACAATAAATGCTTAGCCTTAGAGTACTGCATTTTTGTATTATAATTTGATGGCCACTTCTTGCATGGTTTCTACAAAAATTAAACAAGTTCCTCACCCATTTTTATCAAATATATTTTAAGACACAGTTTGGATGATCAAAAAGGAAGTGGTAAATTTAAATATTTAATATATAGACTCTTTAAGACATTGGTATTTATTTAAAACTTTGTTCTCAATTATTTTAATGTGATGTGGTTAGTCACATTTAAACAAAAAAAAGAGTTTTTTTCTTATTTATCAGCATGAAATATAATAGGAAAATAATATTTATATGTTAGAAATTTACACTTTTGAGCATTATTGCATAGAATTACAGAATAATGAGCTTGTCTTCTCTTCAGGAAGACAGTAGGGCAGAATCTCCTAACTTTTGGAATAATCTCTGATGGATAGTCGTGGGTTTGTGTCAGTCAGTTATAAGCCCCAGAAGGGAAATAGCTCATGATACTTTTAACAATTAATCATGTGTCTGTAATGACATTTGCACAATTAATTCTAAACAAAAAGGCAAAATAAGTGATCTTTGCATTTTCACTTGTTCAAAGTCAACATTTGTATTTTTTTTGAATTAAATACAATTCACAGTTGATTTAGGATTCTTAGATTGCTAATGAATTTAATGAAAATGGTGATTTTCAACAGAGAAAATCAATTTTCTTGAATATGACTTTTGCATCTTGTCTTTAATATCACTGTGTTTTTGTAGCCAAGACGAATGTGGTGTAGAATAGCAATCAGATTTTTGTCAGTTCTGTAGGCATAAATCCAGGGTTTAAATTTAAAACCTGAATTAAGTATACCAGATATGGATGAAGATTTACTATAAAATTCCATTATCCCTGACTCCAGGAGATTGATATATCCTTGGATATTTTTTTAAAATGCCATGCCTTTTCTTGCCATTTTTGCACTGCTTAATGACACTGCTTAATGCACTGCTTAATATTGTTTTTCTTCCCTTTTCTTTGGAACAAGCTTTCAGTATTTAATACTGGAATGCACAACTTTATGATGCATACTATAGCATTCATTTTTCATAATGTGATGAGTGATCAATTTTAAAGCACTTGCAATTCTTCTGTAATGTAATATCTAATGTATAGAAGGTTTAGTACTTGGAACTTATTAGAAGCAATGCTTTTCAGAAAATAGAGATATTTATCATCATATTATTCCTAGTCTAGTTTTTCTCTATCTTTGCTCATGTGTAGGTCTTGACATTTTAATTTAGTCCCACAGGGAAATTATCTTCTGCCATTTCCTCTCTCAAGACTTAGAGTGAGTTCAAAAGAAGCCATGGACACAGAGAAAGCTCTCCTTTGGGGAATTTGACCATAGAATAATTTGAATGAATGCTACATATTTTTAAAAAATTGTATGCAATACAACAGAATATAAGATTAAGTGTCAATGAAGAGTAACATAACAAACTCAGCAAGATGACAGGAGAAAGGGAAACATTTGTTCCTTATTTAAATAGTCTCATTATAATTTTCTGTGCTATTCAAGTTTACCAGGGACTGTTAGAACATGACTTTTGGAGTTAGGCTTTCATGAGTTCCATATCTTGCTGGATTTGCCCTTTACTTAGACTATCACACTATCACTTTGACAAGTTAGTTCAGCCTTCTTATGTTTTTATTTTTAAAAAAGGAAAGGAGGCCAGGCACGGTAGCTCACACCTGTAATCCCAGCACTTTAGGAGGCCAAGTTGGGTGGATCACGAGGTCAACAGATCAAGACCATCCTGGCCAACGTGGTGAAACCTCATCTCTACTTAAAAAAAAAAAAAAAAAAATACAAAAATTAGCTGGGCATGGTGGTGCAAGCCTGTAGTCCCAGCTACTCAGGAGGCTGAAGCAGGAGAATTGCTTGAACCCAGGAAGCAGAGGTTGTAGTGAGCTGAGATCTCACCACTGCACTCTAGCCTGGTGACAGAGAGAGACTGTCTCAAAAAAAAAGAAAAGGGAAAGGGAAGGGGAAGAAGGGGAAGGGGAAGGGGAGAGGGGAAAGGAAAGAGGAGGGGGAAGAGGAAGAAGGGGAAGGGCAGGGGGAAGGGGAAGAAGGGGAAGGGGAAGAAGGAAAAGGGGAGGGGGAGGGGAAGAAGGAGAAGGGGAGGGGGAGGGGAAGGAGGGGGAGGGGAAAGGAAAGAAGAGGAAGGGGACGGGGAACTGGAAGATAAAGGAAAAAGGAAAGGAAAGGAAAAAGGGAAGGGAAAGGAAGGGAAGGGAGGAAGGAAAGGGGTAGATTTGTTGGATGTTTTAGACACGAAAATGAGCTGGGACTGGTGTTTTCCCATATTCTCTCACCCTTCATCAAAAGCAGGAGAGGTTCAAGGCCTGAGTATTTGCCTCTGGATGGCCATTGCTGGTATATTATTAACTTCTCTTGAGGTCAAGACAATACAAAACTCAGGTCTTCTCTGCCAGGGATCCTGTCTAGGAAATACTGAGTGTTTGGGGGTAGTTTCAAAGATTTTCTAAATAGATAGTAAGTGCTGAGAGTATTTTACTTACAACTTTTGGGTGAAAGTTTTTTTTATTATTGTACTAATAAGTAAATTTCTACTAAATTTGTAACTAATTATTTCATGTATCCAAATAAGCACATTTTAAAACAAACTACTTAATATTTAAAACTAAAAATATGCCATAAAATTTCAAGTCCTTTTCTCTTCAAGACAATAAAGCTACAATATTCTTTTAAAAATTGCTACACGGATTGTGAAAAGAGCCTAACATATTGCTTGTCACATAGCATGCTCAATCAATGTTATTCCCACATTCCTCTTAGCAGGTCCTGTTCTTCATCTATAGTGAATTGCTTTTGATTTCAAGGTCTTAGAAAAAAGCTTTTTCCTAAGAAAGTAAATTATGTTATTGTCAAACTACTTTTATAAAAATGATATGTTGGATTCAGTGGATAACTTTACGGATTGGTTTTCTAAATATGCATGAAAATGCTAGATTTTTATTTTCTGAATCATTGCTGTGTTGATGATTGTTTGCCCACTTTATTACTTCACTGAAAAACAAATGGGATCAAAAAAAATGTTGCTACTCTTCTCTTTGGAAGCCTCGAGTCATTCTGGATCATATAGTATATTCTGTATTCTGATTGATGTTTTAACAATGTAGTGTTGCTATATTAATACTATATTCTTTAAATTGTAATATTTGTTATAATATTTTTGTTTACTTTGAAACTACAGAGTCTACACTTTTTATCAATATAACATTTTGTGAATTATAACAAAAATATATAAATATTGTTTACTAAAGAAAACATAGTCAAGCTTTGGAAGGATTAAAGTTAGTGTTATTCAGAAGTCTTACTGAAGACTATAGACTGAAGCCTGTAGCTGTAGGGCAGTTCTGCCAGACTGCTCCTGCTTAGTGTTTCAGCCACTGCTTATATACAAGTGGTGGGGGTTCAGTATGTGCAAAATCACATCAGACTTGCTCAGGAGTTACATTAAAGCAGAATCACATCAAGCTTTGGGTGTAAGGGTACATTTGGTTATAGATTACAGAAGCATAATCACTACCCCTGTCAGAAGTTATCTTATATGCAGGGAAAGGCAAGGACTAGGGTCCTTTATCTTTTAAGAAAAATATAGTAGCTCAGACAAGAGACACTGAGGGCTCTGCACGCTATCCTGTTTTATTTCCAAAGCCTCCCTTGAGAGAGCTGCAGATGGTAACAAAGTCAGGGGTTTGTGAAATTTTGCTAGCAAGCAGAAATGAGCAAACGTGGTTTGTAACATTTGCTACTTTGTCTCACAATATATTCATGAACTTCACTTGTGATTAAGAATAAAACTGCATTTTAATATAAAATTTACATGCATTAAAGTAAAAGATTGCTGGTTGTAGATAACCTAGTTTTACTGGCACTAATGTCAACATTTGCAGTAATACTATTGTATTAGTCTGTTTTCATGCTGCTGATAAAGACATACCCAAGATTGGGCAATTTACAAAATTGTACCCTAAAACTTAAAGTATAATAATAATTTAAAAAAAGAAAATAAACAATAGTGAAATAAGAGCAAAAAATAAAAAAATAAAGAGGTTTAATGGACTCACAGTTCGATGTGGCTGGGAAGGCCTCACAATTATGGCAGAAGGTGAAAGGCATGTCTGGGAAGGCCTCACAATTATGGCAGAAGGTGAAAGGCATGTCTCACATGGTGGCAGAGAAGAGAAGAGAGCTTGTGCAGGGAAACTCCCCCTTGTAAAACCATCAGATCTCGTGAGACTTATCCACTATCATGAGAACAACATGGGAAAGGCCTGCCCCCATGATTCAATTACCTCCCACCAGGTCCTTCCCACAACAAGTGGGAATTCAATATGAGATTTGGGTTTGGACATAGCCAAACCGTATCAACTATGAATTAAGTTTTTAAGTTTTAAGTAGCGATGTGCTGCGAATGTCTAAGAACTGGCCTCAGGGAGGGAATCTGGTTTGAAGAATTTGCAGGCCTCCATAGTATAAGTAACTACCTCATCACCATATTCAAACTATCGATAGTTTAAAAATCTGCTTGAAAAAAATCCTGAAAATTAAAAAATAAAATGGCTCTTGTGAACCAATGTCTTCGGCCAGTCTTAGCACTATATTGGGATTAAGTAAATATCAACTGTGACATACAGGCATGACTTTTTTTTTTTTTCATTGTGCCTTGCTTTTGTGCACTTCACAACATTACAATTTTTACAAATTGAAGGTTTGTGGAACCTTACATCTAGCAAGCTTATCAGCTCGGTTTTTTTCAACAGCATGTGCTTGCTTCATGACTCTCTGTTACATGGTAATTCTCACAATATTTAAATTTGTTAATTATTATCATATCTGTTATGACGATCTGTGATTATTCATCTTCCTTTTTCTGCATCAAAAATTTTAATAAAGAATAATATGCTTCTGAGGGAAAACAGCTAAGCTCATTGGTCTGTAGTCCTTTGAATAAAGCAATATGATACTTGTGGTAGTATCCAGACTGTGGAGCCCACCCTGTCTTCCATACGGTTCGGAGGCCTTCCACTTGGAGACAAAAATAAGTCTTGCTCTTATTTTAGGAGGGATATATCCACTGAGATGAGAGGTCAAGCTAGGTTTTTAATGAAATTTATTTTTTGCTTTTATTATTTTTTAATTGACACATACTACATTCATTCTGCATGAATACATTCTGCATATGTATGGGGTAAAGTGTGATATTTTGATACGTGTATACAATTTGTATAATCAGGGTAATTAGCATATCTATCACCTCTGACATTTATTATTTTTGTGTGAAGAACATTCAGAATCCATTCTTCTAGCTATTACTCTGAGCTTCATTTTCTTCTTGTCAGAATATGTACAACAGCATGCCTAGAAAGACTTTGTTTCATTGCAAATGTTTTGCCACAGCCAACATGTTCACATGCAAAATGGCACCTTTTTTCTCATGGAAAGGATATGGATTTGTAGAGTAAACACAGTTGTGTAGGTTCTTCCAGAGACTTCTCTTGTATGTCAAAAATATCCCTTTCTGGGGCATGAGTGTTCATATGTTGCTTAAGATAATGTTTAAATGTTTTCTGGCCTGCTTCATATGTTGTTTCCTTTTTATAAGTTTCTCTCACATGTTTCAAAACTTCTGTTCATGCTTTCACCACAAAAGAACACGCTTTTTGACATATAGAGCCCGCATGGGCCTTGCCGCTTGCTGGATGGATGGGGAAAAATGCTTCCCACATCTTTCCTGGGTACAGTTGAATAGTGGTTCATTGGTATGCTGGCAGTGATGGTTTTTCAGCTGCTGATGTTCGTAAAGGTCTTCTTCCAACCTCCAAAATTGCATATGTATATTTTTTTTTTTGCTGGTTTTCATGTTTGCCTGTAAAATGTCTCTTCAAGTTTGATTTTGTGTTGAATTTTTAGATCACAGCTACTAGCTGCACAAACATATGGCTTGTCTGCAGTATGATCAGGACATGACAACTCAGATGTTAGTCTCTTGAGGTGGGTCTTGCCACACCCTTCACAGTCATAAACAAATGGTTTCTTCCCCATGTGATTACAGGTGCACATTAAGCTTCCAGGCCTTTTTGTAAGTGGTGCCACACTGGGGAAGTAGCAGATGACCCTCCTAAGAAGTGTGTGAAGGGGGAACAAGGGAAGGGAGAAGCAGTCGCGGGGCTAGACTCTCACAGCCTCCTTGAATACATCAGTGATGTATCCTGGAGACCAGAGATCAAAGTCAATGGCTTCAGGGTGCTCAGGCCTGTGTTTCTTGGCCCAGGCGTTTCCATACTAAGCCACATACTATAAATTGGCCACTGGCCAGTGATTTTTGATGTTACTGTTGTAATTGTTCTGAAGTGCCACAAAAAGCTCCCATATAGGATGATGAATTTAATTCATTCACTTTGTGTGTGTCCTAAGTGCACCATTTACCAGTCATTCCCCCTTCTCTCTTCCTTACCTCAGGACTCCTTATCCCTTGCAACATAACAATATTTTAATTAGGCTAATTAATAACCTTACAATGGTCTCTAAGTGTTCAAGTGAAAGAAAGAGTTACACATATTTCACTGTAAATCAAAAGCTACTAGTGATTCAGTTTAGTGAGGAAAGCACATTGAAAGAAGAGATAGACTGAAAGCTAGGCCTCTTGCACCAAACAACCAAGTAGTGAATGCAAAGAGAAAGTTTGTGAAGAAAACAAAAATTCCTATTCCAGTGAACACACAAATAATAAGAAAGTTGAAATAGATTTATTGCTGATATAAATAAAATTTTAGCAGATTGGATAAAAGATAAAACCAGCCACAAGATTTCCTTAAGCCAAAGCTTAATCCAGAGCAAGGCCCTAATGCTCTTAAATTCTATGAAGGCTGAGAAAGGGAAGGAAACTACAGAAGGAAAATGTGAAGCTCACAGAGGTGGCTTTATGAAGTTTAAGGATAAAAGCCACCCCCATAACATAAAAGTGAAAGGTGAAGCATCAAGTGCCAAATAATATAGAACCTGCAGCAAGTTATTCCGAAGATCTAGGTAAGATCATGGATGGAAGTGGCTGCACTAAACAGCTTTTCAGTGTAGGCAAAACAGCCTCCTATTGGAAGAAGATGCCATCTGGGATTTTCATAACTTGAGAGAAGCTAATGCCTGGCTTCAAAGTTTTAAAGGACAGGTGGACTCTCTTGTAAGGGATTAATGTAACTGTGAACTTCAAAGCCAATGCTCATTTACAATTCTGAAAATCGTAGAGCCTTTAAGAATTATGCTAAGTCTACCTTGCCTATGTGCTATAAATGGAACAGCAAAGCCTGGATGACCTTACATCTGTTTAAAGCATGGTTTACTGACTACTTCAAGTTCATTGTTAAGACTTACTGATCAGAAAAAAAGGTCCATTTCAAAATATTACTGCACACTGGCAATGCACCTAGAAACTCAAGAGCTCTGATAGAGTTGTACAAGGAAATTAATATTACTGTCATGCCTGCTAACACATCCTGCATCTGGTGGATCAAGGAGTAATTTTGACTTTTAAGTCTTACTCATCAAGAAATATATTTTGTCAGGCTGCCATAGACAGTAATTCCTCTTATGGGTCTGTGTAAAGTAAAGTGGAAACCTCCTGAAAATGATTTACCATTCTAGATTTCCATTAACAATATTTGTGATTCATGGGAGGAGGTCAAAATGTGAACTTTGAATGAGGAGTCCGAGCAAAATGGCCAAATAGAAGCTTTCACTGATCATCCTCCCCGCAGGAACATCATACTTGACAACTATCTACACAAAAAGCACTTTCATAAGAATCTAACAGCATGTAAGCAATCACATACCCGGTTTTGACTTCTTATTGCTGAAAAAAGCACTGAAGAAGGTAGAAAAGACATTCTTGAATTGCTGAAAACACCCCTTACCCATCCCCCAGCTGCGGCTGCATGGCGTTGAGAGAGAATTTGTGCGCTTTGGGTGAGGGAGAGCACAGTGATCGGGGGACTTTGTATTGAAACTGAATGCTGCCAGCCCTGGGAAGAACTCAGCTGGTGCCTACGAAGGGTGCATTTAGACCAGCCCTAGCCAGCGGGGAAGTGCCCTTACCAACAGTTGAAAGCTAAATTTCTTTAAGCCTCACCACCTCAGGCTAAAGTAATCTGGGGTTCTAAATAAACCTAAAAGGCTGTCTAGGCAACAGAGACTGCTTATGTCACTCCTCCCTGAGCTCCAGGAAGCTCAGCAGAGAGAGATACTCCATTTGTTTGGGAGAAAGTAAGTGAAGAGAGCAAGAGTTTCTGAATAGTAACCCAGAAAAATTTTCCAGACCATATCCAAGACCACCAAAAAGTCTGAAAGAACTACAGTTTCACTGGGCTTGGGGTGGCCCCTAATATTGATATGGCTGCAGTGACCAAAACCTTATATCACAACACCCAATTCCCTTTAAATACCTGGAAAGCCTTCCCAAGCAAGATGATTAAAAATAAAAGCAGAGTGCAAAGACTACAAGGAATTCCTAAGTCTTCAATGCTCAGACACTGTTGTATATCCACAAGCATGACCATCCAGGATAATATTGCCTGAGGAAATGAACTAAATAAGGCACCAGGGGACAATCCTGGAGAGACAGAGATATATATGACCTTTCAGATGGGAAAATAAAAATATCTTTGTTGCAGAAACTCAAAGAAATTCAAGATAACACAGAGAAGAAATTTAGATTCCTATCAGATAAATTTAACAAAAAATTGAAGTAATTAAAATGAATCAAGCAGAAATTCTCAAGTTCAAAAATGCAATGGCCCTTCTAAGGAATGTATCAGAGTTTCTTAATAGCAGAATTGAACAAACAGAAGAATGAATTAGTGAGCTTGAAGACTGGCTATGAAAATACACAGTCAGAGGAGACAAAATAACAAAATAATAGAAAGCAATGAAGCATGCCCACAATATCTAAGGAAATAGGTCCAAAAGGGCAGATCTAACGATTATTGGCCTTAAAGAGAAGGTAAAAAGAGAGACAGTGGTAGAAAGTTTATTCAAAGGGATAATAACAGCTTTCCAAAACTAGACAAAGATATCAATATTCAAGTAAAATATACAAGACTATCTCAAGATATTTAATAATTAAACTCCCAAAGGTCAAGGATAAACAAAGATTTCTAATAGCAGCAAGAGAAAAAAGAAACAAATAATAAACAATGGATGTCCATTATGTCTGGCAGGAGATTTCTCAGTGAAAACCTTACAGGCCAGGAGAGAGTGGAATGATATATATTTAAAGCACTGAAGGAGAAAAAACTTTTACCCCAGAACAATATATTCAGTGAAAATATCTTTCAAACATGGAGGAGAAGCAAGACTTTCTAGACAAACAAAAGCTGAGGGCTTTTGTCAACACCAAACATGTCCTACAAGAAATGCTGAAGGGAGTTTTGAGAAATTCATGAAAATTAATTCAGAAAGAAAAAAGAACAGTAATGAGCAATCAGAAATCACCTGAAGGCACCAAACTCAATGGTAATAGTAAGTACACAAAAAACAGGCTAGGTTAGGCACAGTGGCTCATGCCTGTAGTTCCAGCAGTTTAGAAGGCTGAGGTGGGTGGATCACTTGAGGTCAGGAGTTTGAGACCATCCTGGCCAACATGGTGAAAACCCATCTCTACCAAAAACACAAAAATTAGCCTGATGCGGTGGTGAGTGCCTATAACCCCAGATACCCGGGAGGCTGAGGCAGGATAAATGCTTGAACCTGGGAGGCAGAGGTTGCACTACTGCACTCCAGCCTTGGCAACAGAGTGAGACTCTGTCTCAAAAACTAATAAATAAATAAACAAACAACTCCCCCCCACCCCAGAACCCACACTATTATAACACTGTAATTGTGGTATGTAAACTACTCATATCTTCAGCAAAAAATGAAAAAAATAACTGATCCAAAGTAATAACTGCAAAAACTTTTGAAGACATAGACAGAACACTAAGATAGAAATAGAAGCCACAAAAATTTAAAAAGCAAGGAGACGAAGTTAAAGAATAGAATTTTTATTAGTTTTCTTTTTGCTTGTTTATTAGTATGTTTGTTTATGAAATCAGTATTGTTCCCATCAGGTTAAAATAATGGGTTATAAGATATTATTTACAAGCCTCATAGTAAACTCAAATTTAAAAACTGCAATGGATACCCAGAAAATAAAAGCAAGAAATTAAAATATACCAAGAGAAAAAATTTACCTTCACTAAAAGAAAGAGAAGAAGGAAAGAATGAAGGAAGGAAGGAAGAGGAGACCACAAAAAAGACATAAAACATAATCAAAATGGTAGAAGTAAGTTCTTACTTATCAATAGTAACAGTGAATGTATAATAAATAGACCAAACTGTTCATTCAAAAGATATAGATTGTGGCTAAATGGTTAAAAATAAGATCCAAAAACCTGTTGCCTACAAGAAATATCCATCACTTATAAAACACACATAGACTAAAAATAAAGAGATGGAAAAAGATATTCCATGTAAATGGAAGCAAAAAAAGAGCAGGAGTTGCTATGCTTACATCAGACAAAATATATTTCAAGAGAAAAACTATAAAAAGAGACAAAGACTGTCATTATGTAATGATAAAGGGGTCAATTCAGCAAGAGGATATAATAATTGTAAATGTATACACATACTCAACACTGAAACACCCAGCTATGCAAAGTAAATATTCTTAGGGCTAAAGAGATATACCCATATACAATAATCACCAGAGACTTCAAAACCCCACTTTCGGCATTGTACAGATCATCCAGACAGAAAATAATCAAGAAAACACTGGACTTAATCTACTCTAGAGACCAAATGGAATGAATATATATTTATAGAACATTTCATTCCGTGGCTGAAGAATACACATTCTTCTCTAGAGCACATGGGTCATTGAAGGATAGACTATATGTTAGGCCACAAAATATGTCTTAAAACACTTTAAAAAGTTGAAATCATTTCAAGTACCTTCTCTGACTATAATGAAATACAACTAAAAATCAACAAGAAGAATACTTTCTGAAAGTATCCAAATACATGAAAATTGAACAGTATGCTTCTGGATGACCAGTGGGTCAACAAAGAGATTAAGAAAGAAATTGAAAACTTTCTTGAAACAAATGATAATGGAAACCAAACATACCAAAACCTATGGGATACAGCAAAAGCAGTAACAAGAGGAAAGTGTAAAGCCATAGGTGCCTATATCAAAAAATAATAACAACTTCAAAAAACAACCTAATGATGCATCTTAAAGAATTAGAAAAGCAAGAGCAAACCAAACCCAACGTTAGTAGAAACACATCAGAGTAGAAATAAATAATATTGAAACAAAGAAAATAGTACAAAAGATAAAGGAAATGAAAAGGTTTTTTGAAAAGATATCAAAAATTGAAAAACTCTTAGCCAGACAAAAAAAAAAGAGAGAGAAGACCCAAATAAATACCATCAGATGAAAAAGGAAACATTGCAACTGATACAACAGAAATTCGAAGGATCATCAGTGGCTACTATAAACAACTATATGCCAATACATTGGAAAATCTAGAAGAGATGGATAAATGCCTAGACACATACAACCTACTAAGATTGAACCATGAAGATATCCAGAATATGAATAGATTAATAATGATGAGATTGAAGCTGCAATAAAAAATTCCCCTAGCAATGAAAATCCTGGGAGCTGATGGCCTCACTGCTGAATTTTACCAAACATTCGAAGAAGAACTAATGCCAATCCTACTCAAACTATACCCACCCCCCCAAAAAAAGAGAGATAGAGAGAACACTCCCAAACTCATTCTATAAGGCCAGTATTATTACCCTGATACCAAAACCAGTCAAAGACACATCATCTTCATCAAAAACAACACCACCACCCACCTAAACTCACAGGCCATTATCTCTGATTAACACTGATGCAAAAATGCAAAATTATCAACAACATACTAGCAAATTGAATCAACAATACATTAAAAATTAATTCATCATGAGAAAATTATATTCTTGAGATACAAAGATGGTTCAACATACACAAATCCATCAGTGTGATACATTATATCAACAGAATGAAAGATAAAAATCATATGATAATTTCAATTGATGTTAAAACAGAATTTGATAAAATTCAACACTGCTTAATGATAAAAATCCTCAGGAACATATCTCAGCTGGGCGTGGTGGCTCACGCCTGTAATCCCATCACTTTGGGAGGCTGAGGCGGGCAGATCATAAGGTCAAGAGATTGAGACCATCCTGGCCAACATGGTGAAACCTCTTCTCTACTAAAAACACAAAAAGCCCACAAATATTCGCCGGGCGTGGTGGTGCATGCCTGTAGTCCCAGCTACTCAGGAGGCTGAGGCAGGAGAATCACTTGAACCTGGGAGGCGGAGGTTGCAGTGAGCCCAGATCAAGCCACTGCACTCCAGCCTGGTGACAGAGAAAGACTTCATCTCAAAAAAAAAAAAAAAAAAAAAAGGAACATATCTCAACATAATAAAACCCATATACGACAGACCCATAGCTAGTATTAGGCTGAATGGAGAAACAATGAAAGTCTTTCCTGTGAGATCCGGAACACAACAAGGATGCCCACTTTCACCACTATCATTCAACATAGTATGGAAGTCCTAGTTGGAGTACTCAGATAACGAATAAAGGGCATCAAAATAGGAAGGGAAGTCAAATTATCCTTGTTTACAGATTATATGATCTTATATTTTGAAAACCCTAAAATCTCCACCAAAAACTCCTAGAATTGATAAACAAGTTTAGTAAAGGTGCAGGATAAAAAATCAACATACAAAATCAGTAATATTTTTGTATGTCGAAAGCGAACAATCTGAAAAGAAATCAAGAAAGTAATGCCATTTACAATAGCACAAATAAAATTAAATACCTAGGAATAAACTTACCAAAGAAGTGAAAGATCTCTACAATGAAAACTATAAAACATTCATGAAAGAAATTGAAGAAAACATAAAAAAGGGAAAAATAATGGTTATGAATTGGAAGAATCAATACTTTTAAAATGCCTGTACCACCCAAAACAATCTACAGATTGAATGAAATGCCTGTAAAAATTCCAAAGATATCCTTCACAGAAATAGAAAAAAATATCTTAAATTTTATATGGAGCCACAAAAGATCCAGAATAGCTTAAGCTATCCCCAGTCAAAGAAAAATCCTGGTGGAATCACACTACCTGACTTCAAATTATATTAATATTATGGAGTATACTAACTGAAGCAACATAGTATTGGCATAAAAGCAGACACACAGATCAATGGAAGAGAACAGTGAACCCAGAAACAAATCCATACATCTATATTACACTAATATTTGACAAAGCAACCAAAAACGTAAATTGTGGAAAGGATAGTCTCTTCAATAAATGGTGCTGGGGAAACCAGATGTCCATATGCAGCAGAATAAAACTAGATCCCATATCTCTTACCATACACAAAAATAAAATCAAAATGGATTAAAGTCTTAAAGCTAAGCCCCCAAACCATGAAACTACCCCCCCCACACACACACAAATTGGGGAATCTCTCCAGGAAATTGGATGAGGGAAAGATTTCTTGAGTAATACTCCACAAGCACAAGCAATCAAAGCAAAAATGGACAAATGGAGTCACATCCAATTAAAAAGCTTCTATGCAGCAGAGGATAAAATCAAAGAAGTGAAGCAACAACCCACAGAATAAGAGAAATCATTTGCAAACTACCCATCTGACAAAGGATTAATATCTAGAATATATAAGGAGCTCAAACAACTCTATAGGAAAAAATCTAATAATCCAATTAACAATGGGCAAAAAGTCTGAATAGACATAAAAATGGCAAATAGGTATATGAAAAGGTGCTCAACATCACTGATCATAAGAGAAATGCACATCAAATCTACGATGAGATATCACCTCACCCAGATAAAGTAGATATTATCCAAAAGACAGGCAATAACAAATGTTGGTGAGGATGTGGGGAAAGGGGACCCCTGTACACTGTTGGTGGGAATGTAAATTAGTACAGCCACTATGGAGAACAGTTTGGAGGTCCCTCAAGAACGAAAAATAGGCCAACCTTATGATCCAGCAATTCCAATCCTAAGTGTATACCTAAAATAAAGGAAATTAGTACATCAAAGAGATACTGCACTTTCATGTTTATTCCAGCACTATTCACAATAGCCAAGATTTGGAAGCAACCCAAGTATCTATCAATAGATAAATAAATAAATAAAGTGTGGTACTTATGCACAATGGATTATTATTCAGCCATAAAAAGAATTAGATCCTGTCATTTGCAACAACACGGATGGAACTGGAGGTCATTATTTTAAATGAAAAAAGCCAGGCGCAGAAAGACAAACTTTACATATTCTCACTTATTTGTGTGCATTAAAAATTAAAACAGTTGAACTTATGGAGATAGAGAGTAGAATAATGGTAACAAGAGGCCGGTAAGGATAGTGGGGGTAGTGGCAGGGAAATGGGGATGGTAAGTGGATACACAAATATAGTTAGATTGAATAAGATCTAGTATTTGATAGCACAACATGGTGACTATAGTTAATAATAATTTAACTTTACATTTAAAAACAACTAACATAATATAATTGGATAGTTTGCAACACAAAGGATAAATGCTTGAGGTGACGGATACCCCATTTACCCTGACACAATTTTTAGACATTATATGCATGTATCACAATATACTATATACCTCAAAAAGATATACACCTACTACGTACCCACAACAATAAAAAATTAAAAAACTTAAAAGTAAGGTAAAATAAATTAAAATATTATATTGACATTAACAGGAGTCTGAAAGAAGTTGATTTCAACTCTCATGAATGATTTTGAGGTGTTCAAGACTTTGGTGAAGGATGCAACTGCAGATGTATTGGAAATACCAAGAGAACTAAAATCAGAAGTGGAGCCTAAAGAGGAGACTTAATTGTTGCAATCTCAGGATAAATCTCGTGATAAAATTTCAATGAATGAGGAAATTTTAGCATTTTTTTGAAACATATATATTAATTTTTTAGCTATATCCCATTGTATTATTTTTAGTGGTTGCCTTGGATATTACTGTATTTATCTTATCACAATCTAGTTCAAGTTAATATTGTGCTAATCCAGGTACAGTATAGGAACCTCACAAAAATATGTTTTCATTTACTCACTATACCTAGAGCTACTATTGACATATATATTGTGTCATTACACATTATAATACAAATGATTATATATTATTACTTATTATATATTATTACATAAATTATTATAAGGCTTACCTTAAATGAACATATATTCTCTTAAAAATATTTAGAGAAGTAAAAAATATATATGTATACTTTTAATTTACTCACATATTTACCATTTCTGATGCTCTTCATTTCTTCCAACATATTCAAGGTAGTATCTGACGACATTTTGCTTAGACTAAAGAATTTTCTTTCAGATTTATACTTCTTTTTGTTTCTTGGACCTGTAAGTTAGTATTGTTTATCTAATTATGAAAGTGTTTGATAGTCACTTCAAATATTTTTTGCTACTCATTTTCATTCTCTTTGTTCTTTCTATGACTAAATTTACATTTACGTTAAACTTCTTGATAGTTTTCTACATATAAGTAACTGTTAATTTTTTAAAAATCTTCTTTTTCTGCATATTTCAGATTGAGTAACCTATATTCATATTTTCAATTATTAATCTTTTCTTCTGCCATTTCTAGTATGCTGTTTATGGCACCTACTGAATTTTTAATTTCAGTATTAGTTTTTAGTTCTAGAATTTCCATTTTGTATAGTTGTAAATCATCTATTAATATATCTTATCTATTCACAGTAGGATTTTTTTTAGTTGTTTGAAAACAACTTTTAATATTCTTGAAGATTATTTACAGTAGTTGTTTTAAAGTCATAGTACATTAAATTCAACTGCTTATCATCAATTTCTCTTAACTGATATATTTTTCTGAGTATGGGTCCTACTTTCATGTCTTTCATCCGTAGTAATTTTTGTTTGAAAACATGACATTTTAGATAATACATCGTGTCGACCCTGGATTTTGTTATATGATTTTGATGACTTTTTGTTGTTGTTGTTGTTTGATCCATAGTCAGTTAACTTGCTTGCACTTGAATTTCTTCTCTCCCAGAGTACAGCAGCTACTTTTACTTAGTACAGATAGATTCCAGCTGCTGCTGTTTTATCCTGGCCCTGTGGATCGTTGCTGTGACTATTTGGTTTGATAATTACCCAATAATTTGGGGAGGTTTTATGATTAGATTTTGGAAGGAGGATTACCTATCTATTTCTTGTTTGGATACTTATTTAAATTACCAGTTGTTCTGCAAGCCTTGAACGTTTCAATCTTTTGACACCTGAAGCCAATAATGTTTAATGTTCTGCTGCTTGATATGGGAATGGGTAGGGGAGTGCATACAGTTTAAAAACATATATAGGAAACTCAGAAACCTCATCTTTTGTCAATCTCTTTCAGGATTAGTTTCCACTCCGGACAAGCCTTCTTTTTCATGGAACCCCTGGTGCCACCTCTACACATATATATTTTAGTTATTGATGTGGGAATTTGGGCAGTATTTTTACTCATATTTTGTGTCTCATTCCTGTTGCTTTTTTGCTTTAAATATTTCTCACTTAAGTTTTCAATTAATTTTCCAGCCCCAAATTCTCTCCTCTATCACCTTAAATTGAAAATTCTGTAGTTTTGCAACCGTTGTAATCATGCATGTGGGTTGGAAAATCAACCCAAGCAAGAAAGCCACAAATTCACAACTCTTTATTTTGCAGATGGGTGTTTCAAAAATAAAATCTAATTTGTTTTATGTCTTGATTTGGCCACTTTTAAATGCCTGTAGGTAGTTGATTTTCTAAAATATATTTTGTAGGTATTTTGTTATTATTACCTATAACACGTTTCGTGTAGCTGCTTCATTTGCCTTAATTACCTGCTTCTATTCACGCTCAAAATGAACTTTACTCATGGCTCAATATAACACACTGTTGCTTCATGAGCTTTCCATATGTATAATTTAAGCCTGTACTCCAAATACCAACTTTTCATATTTCTCTCTTGAAACTATCAAAAGAGAAAATCTTTATGTGTTATCTAATTACCTAAACATATTTGGTCAGAGTGTCAGTGCTGGCCGGGCTACATGTTGTCTTTCCTTAGGTCAGTTGCTATTCCCTAGCCTAATTAATAATGGCAAGACTGGCAAAGTCTAACAAGGTTCAGAACATGTACCCCAGCCTGGCTCAGAGAGGTAATAAATCTCCTAGGCTTTCTCTGTAACCTTGATCAACTTGTTAATTAAATAATTTTTTTGTAAAGGATGTGACAATGAAAAGCATTACAATTACTATTACCAGTTTAGAAGAAACCCCATAATGCTGAAAAAAATACATTTTGTTTTAATTTTATTTAGGTGATGAAAAATTAAAGTTTTTGCAAGTGAAGCTTAATTATTTTTTTAAGAACCTGTAAAACTCAGTGAAGAAATGTACGATTGCATATTGAAATTTAGAACTTAAAATGTCCTTAATGTTTAATGTGTTCGACTACTAAATAGATGAGTTTCAAGATATAATTTAACATTTCATAGCCAGATAATGACATAACAAGACTAGCATATACATCTTTAAACTCCAAGTCTATTGCTCCATTTGTTCTACACTTCTGCCAACATATGTAGGCTTATATAAAAAGAAAAAAAACCCAAAATACTCGCACTATAACACTAATCTGAGGAATATTTATGCCAACTTTATATAGTAAAGTCCTTTAAATTATGTATATATACTTTGGTGCATCTAACTGTGGTACAATATATGAAGATGTTTAGTAAATTCTACAATCTTCACAAGATTGCTACATTATATAGTTAAAATTAATAATTAAAAGTATAAATTCTTGATTAGATTAGAAATGATTTTAAAATTTTTCATTCAAGATGGCAGACTTGATAGATATATAAATTATTTTCTTTCATGATAAATCATAAACATGAAATATATATATTTTTAAAGACAGAAACTCTTAACAAATAAAATAACTAGAATTTAATAATCAACAGACAAAAGATTTAAACACATTTCTGGGAGATGAGAGTGGATTGAAAAAGAGATAACAGCTGAAAAAGCCACAACCTATGCAGTGTTTCTGGTCCAAGTGAATTAGAAGGGAGCTGATCTGCCATAGAGAGTAAGAATTTCAGAGAGGCTCTGAATTCTGCAAAGTTGGCACTGTATAGAAAGGAAGAGAAAGAGATGCTGCAGACAAGGAAATATACAAAGTCCATATGAAAAAAAAGGCTTGATACGTTTCCTTATCCTGCATGCCAAATTGCCACATAGGGTTGGTTGGGGGAGGCTTTCTCTAAAGAAGTAGAATGTATTATTCAAGAGAACATGATCCTGTATTTGGATCTTTTTTTTTTATTATTGATTCAATGTGCTGTAAGTAGTAGTGTCATCAATTTGGAGACATTTACTCTTCAGAATTCCCAAACTATCTTCTATTATTACCTAGATAATTTCCTGCTGATAATTTATATTACTAACTTGATAATTTTGTATTATCTGTTCTCTCTTTCCAGTACTCATATTGGTTGAATACTATTTTCACTGTGTTTTGATCTGTAGTCTAATATTTCTGCAAATATTTTCATTCTCACTAATATTCATGTTTTCTTAAAATATACATTTATCAGGTAATAATAGAAGTTAGTTTAGCAACCCTGAAGAGCGTTTCCAAATTGATGCCACTGCTACTTACAGAACAATGAATCAATTAAAAAAATAAAGATCCAAATAAAGGGCCATAGTTTGTGAAATCTCAGAATGCCAAACGTAAATGTAAGATCCCAATGACTTTCAAAAATCAGAAATAGGCCACCTACAGAGGACTAAGTTACAGGAGGATTAGATCTTCCACCAGCAACAATAGGTGCTGAAAACAACCTAACCGAGTTTTGAGAGTGTAGAGGGAAATAATGATGTTTAATTTAGAATTCTAAACCTAGACAAAATACAAACAAGTGTGAAGGAAGAACACATCAATTTTCAGACGTGTAGTTACTGATGCCACATAAAACTGAAAGCTGCTTTTACTTCAGTGAAGAAAAATTATAGATCAAAAAAGAGTACTACAAGGGATCAAGAAAACATTGAGAGGATTTAGAAGTCCCAGGACAGCTTGGATTCACTAGGAGAATAGAGATATGAGACATAAAAGGAATTCAATAGAACATATAATATGATGAACAACTTCATAAATCCAAAATATAATAAAACTACTTGGTAGAGCACAAAATGGAGAGTCAACTTAAACTTTATATTATGAACATTTCCTTTCTGTAGTACATGGCTAACATAGAACTTAAGAGTAGGAAATGTAATTCCAACATACAACTTCCCTTTGCAGAGAATAACATTTTTAAAATGTAACCATGATAGTTTAAATATTATATTGGTTTTGAAATTTCAAATCAACACATCCAATGATTTAAGAAGAGTTAACAAAAATGTAATAAACCTGTATCTTCTTATGTCTTCTTACTGTATTTAATAGCAAAGGAAATGGGGGCTTGAATATATTATTGGAAATTTTAGAGTTGTAAAGTCAGGTTAGTGGTAAAGCAATATTTTCGGAGGGAGTACGTGAATGGTATGAGATATAATCTTACCTACTGTATCAGAAAGTCACTAAGCAATATCTAAAGTTGACAGACCATAGAATATTATTTAGAGATGTGGAGTTAGTAACAAAATGAACTAAAAAAGCAAAGATTGAAAGAAGTTGATGGTGAGGAAAGAAGAAAAAGGATTAGTCTGGGGGTGGAAAGAAAAAGATTGAGGTAGGAATGTATTGTTCTTCATTATAAACATTTCAATATAATTTTACTCTTTAAAAACCCTTTAATAACTTTAATAACTTTAATACACCCATGTTCATGTATTACTTTGATCTTTTAGAAAAAAATCTAATGAAGCAGAAAATTACTAGAGTATAGGGCATTACTAGAAACAGTGTGTGTGTTCATGTTTTGGTCTGGTCTACCAATATAGATAATAACTTGTTGGAGGCACAATCTATCATCAAAACAAAACAAAATTATATGCTTCCTACATTATACATCAAATAAAAGGCAAAATCTCCAGGAATAATTCTTAATAGTGGATTCAAAGATTCAAGTAGTAGTCACCTTCAATATAATTATTTAAGCTAAACATTTTTTAAACTGCAGACAACAAGCTAGCAGTTTGATTATGTTGAAAAAATATCCAGCTCCTATGTCTAGGAATTATTTGAAGATTAACAGACAAATCCATTTAGTTAAAAGTCCTCAGGAAACACACATTTTATTCCACGTACTAAGTGCATAATTGAAAAAGGAATTTTGTTAAGTGATTTTTTTGGAGAGTAGCTATCTAGGAGTGAAAGTTTTAAGGCAATTTGATTTCAACAGTGAGAGTATGATTTTGTATATATGGAAATATTCTCTCAAAAAATTGCCTTAAGACATCATTGAGTGTATGCCATGGTTTCAATGGTGGAATGAGTTAATTCACATCATAGGGCCAAATAAAAGAATCAGAAATAAATTGAATTGTCTATCTGTTGTCCTGATAAAGTGGAAGTTAGATTTTAAAAGTTCCAACATTACTCAATTATGCTCTCTACACAATGCATTTTAACTAAAAAATATATTGATATCCTGAACGGCATTTGAAGGCTATTTGATAAGATTTCACTGAGCACGGAAGATCCTGATAACTATATTGACTAATGGTAAGTAAAGAATTTGTAACCATAGTGTTTTAATGACTATAGCTTTGTAATATAATTTGAAGCCAGGCAATGTGATGTCTCCAGCTTTGTTCTGTTTACTAAAGATTGCCTTGGCTACTCATGGTGTTTTGTGGTTCCATATACATTTTAGGATCACTTTTATCTATTTCTGTGATAAAGGATATTGAAATTTTGTTAAAGATTACACTGATTTGTAGATCACTTTGGACAGTATGGACATTTAAACAATATTAATTCTTCCAAATTATAAACGTAAGATATCCTTATATTTATTTGTCTCTTCTTGAATTTCTTTTATTAAAGATTTGTAATTTTCAATGTATGGATTCTTCACCTCCTTAGTTGCGTTAATTCCTAAGAATTTCATTTTTTATATTGCTATCATAAATTGATTTTTTTTATTTTGGGGGGAATAGTTTGTTGTTAAGTGTAGAAAACTGTTACTGATTTTTACGTATTGATGTTGTATGCTGGCAATTTACTGTATTTGTTTATCAGTTTTAATAGTTTTTTGTGATGCCTTTAGGGGTTTCTATATGTAAGATTATGTCATCAGCAAACTGTAACAATTGTACTAAAATATAACACATTTAAGTTCTATTGACCATTAAATAAATTTGCACAGATTACCTGACAGCTACTGCTATCTCTGGTATTTACCCCGATGTCCATATTTCCCTGGTTCTCAGTCTCCCCACAAGGCTTCTAAGAAGCATTGCATCCTCCCTTGCTCTAATAATCTGTTTTGAAGCACAGTATTAGAGGGCTAATAAATTTGTGCCTGTCACTGTGATAATACAGTTGAGGCAAATTAATAACATTTGGCATAAAGTATGTTTAAGATAATCAAAATAAGAAGTTAAATTTTAATTAAACCATAAAAAGCTACAACTTAAATTAAAATAGACTATGAAAACATCTTAAACATCTCTGAATACATAACGAAAACCTAAACTGTTAATAGATACCCCATTATGCTTAGCTCTAAATGTAAATTATTCATCAAAATTATTTGCCAGAGTAGCAGTAGCAAACAGCCTAAAACTCAAAGGACTTGGTAGTGCTGAATGATGCTACTAGAGGAGCCCATTCATACTCTTGAAATGAAGCCTTTCTTCAGTCCTTTTCAGACATCATCTGGTAATTCCATCCTGACTCCATGAAACATTGCTATAGGTCAGACACTTGCCTACCACTAGCCTCTCTGCAGGAATGGGGAATGGAGTTGCCTTCTTCATGAGCCGGATCATTTGTAGGTGTGCTCAACCATTACCGCCATGTGGAAATTTCTGACCCTATTTTTCCCCCTTTATTTTTTCAAGAGGCACTGTAACATAGAGTCACACATGTTCAACTCCCAACTCCATTACTAGTACTGTGCTTGCAGGAAAGTGGTTCATCTCTTGAAGGCGATTTCTACCAAGCAGAGTGTGAGTAATAACTGTACACATCCCACAGAATTCTTACCATAACTAAATGAAGTTATGCACATAAAATGTTTGGTAAGCAGCATTTGGCACAGAGTTGGCACTACATAAATATTAGTTATATAATTTCACTTTTTCTTCTTCCATTCTTCTGCCAATAGTACCTGCAGACAGCTATTAAACTCTACAAGAGCAATTATAAATAAGTGCAGAATATAATAGTGTGTAATCCCAGCACTTTGGGAGGCTGAGGCGGGTGGATCACGAGGTCAAGAGATTGAGACCATTCTTCTGGCCAACATGGTGAAACCCCATCTCTACTAAAAATACAAAGATTAGCTGGGCATGGTGGCAGGCACCTGTAGTCTCAGCTACTTGGGAGGCTGAGGCAGCAGAATCACTTGAACCTGGGAGGCGGAGCTTGCAGTGAGTGGAGATTGTGTCATTGCACTCCAGGTTGGCGACAGAGGGAGATTCTGTCAAAAAACAAAAAAAAAATTAGAAGATAATAGTGATAGCCAATGCCATGAATAACTGGGTTTAAACAGATTCTTGGCCTACTCTAAAGGTTAAGGAAAAAACAGTCCTTCTTTATCTTAGAGATAGTCTATGCTTTTCTTGCTAAAATGTATATCATAATTTACACTTGCAAAATGTCTATTTTAATGTAGATTGACAATTTACTGATAAAATCGTTTGACAAAAAGCCTGAAAAGGTGGATAATAAAAATGCTATGCATTCAAAAACCAGTGTGAAGATTTCTGGATTTTTTTCTACCATCCTGTTTCAGACAGAATTTATTTGTGTATTTTTAAAAGGAGCAACATTTAGTCTCTCATCTATCACCGAACTAGAGTAGATTTCCAACAAGTATCTAGGTTGTAAAATTGTTTTAGGAAACTATGATCACTACCTTTAGGTTCTATTTTTTTTTTCATCCAAATGATTTTTGTTCAAATGCCCTTTCAATATTCACTTTCGTGGCAGCTAAAATGCTGTCACAGTGTTCTCAAGATGCTGTCAATGCTACTCTGTAGTAAATAACATTATAATGTCAATGCATGACTAAGGAAGTGACATGATGTCAAGGATGCACTCAGTGTGGTTGTATCATAAATTCAATGGAAAATGCATATTTATGGAGACCTTCGTAGGATGTCAAAAGAGAATAATGCAGATGTTACATTACTGAGAAAAAAAATCAGAGAAACTTTGTTAAAGATGATGGAAATTCTACTGAGTAAAGGGAATGAATTTCAAGTCTTGGCAGTCAAAGTGCCTTCAGATTTCTAGGTGTTTTTATATATCCCGTGACAACTCTGAGGACTATACTCGCCCCTCTCCAGTCTGCCACCCAACCCAGTTGCCAAAGCTTGATGTCCTGGGTCCTGAGAGGGTCAAGAGACATAGATTACAACCTGTTTCACCCTTGAATTACTGATAGCACTGGATAATTTCTATTTATACAAAAGAAGGAGATCCTTCTGCGGCCGTAATTGCAAGCCCTGCTCCCTTTGAAGATTCTTGTTCTTCTACTATGCTTTGCACCAGAATGAGAAGAGTGGAATTGAGGTTTTGGAACTACCACGGCCTGCAGGTGAAGAGAGGGGTGTGTCTAAATCCAGTTAATGCCTGAATTTATTTTATTAGGAAATATGCCATTTGGTTTAAATATTAAAATATCACTGCTACTAGGCAGATAACAAATGAAAGCTTCTCTTCTGGTGTCTTCTTTTCCCACCTGCATCCCTTTAAACATTCCCTCAAACCACGATGGGAGTTAAAATTATTTTCCTTCTCCTTACTTTTACTGCAATCTCATTTTATCTCCTTTCTCCATTGATGTGACTGACCTTGTATTGTTATGATTCTGCTCTTTTTTCCTCAAGTTGGTGGGATAAGAGGATAGAGAGAAATGGGTTCTATTTTTTAAATGGAATCATTTTCCATTAATCAATTAAACAATTATTTTTAGCTATAGGTAAAATGTTAGCATTGGTACTAATACCAACATGACAGATGCTCTCAGTGCTCTGAACTGTCTGGTGGGGAAGTGAGAATGCCAACTAATAATTACAAGGTGACGAATACTAATGTAGACCTGGATATTATGAAAGCAAAATGTGGCAGATGCTAATGGAACCTAGGGATCATTTATTATCATTTTCCAGTCAAAGTTATTTTAATTGCACAGAAAGGGAAGTTTTACTCTAGACCATTCTTCAACGGCTTCTATTAGAGCTTCTATTAGATTGATGGAAATAGAACCCAAGGGTAAGATAAGTTGTCTGGGTTTCTAATAACTCAGAGCTAGACAGCCACCAGGCTTCTAGGCTCACCATTCATCTACAATGATATCTCTGTCTACTCCTTTCTCTTATTTAACCACCTTTCTTTGCTATCTTTTCTTCTGCAAAGCTCTACAAGGGTATTATTGCTTATAGGACCTTATTATCCTTTCAACACCTGGGGCTACACCACCTGTGGACTCCCTTTGTAGTTCTCGGTGGAAATTCCTGATGCAAAGCAAAGAGAGAATGATTGCAATTTCCTCAATAAGTCGCTTTTTTTTTTCGTTGGCTGGGGATGGGGGTGGAAGGGTAAAAGCCCTATATGTCATTATCTAGTTTATGCTTTGTTTCTACTGGAATCAAATTTAAATTGGAAAAGTATTGAGTATGGGGCTGGGCATGGTGGCTCACACCTGTAATCCCAGCACTTTGGGAGGCCAAGGCAGTCGGATCACCTGAGGTCAGGAGTTCGAGATCAGCCTGGCCAACATGGCGAAACCCCGTCTCTACTAAAAATACAAAAATTACACCAGCCTAGGTGGCAGAGCGAGACTCCATCTCAAGAAATAAAAGAAAAGAAATTACTGGGTATGGGAGAACATTACTAATATGTCTCATATACCTCATTCCCTTTTAAAGCTATACAAGTTTCTAATTTTCTTCTCTATTTTATAACGGAATGAAATTAGTTCCTTAAAATATGAGATGAACAGGTGTTGTCAGTGGGGAGGGTGACAGGGGGGAAGTCCAGTAGAGATAAGGTCTACAAGGAAGCACCAAGGCTGGGGAAGACTAAACATTTGGGGTCACTGGGTACCTAGTTATTCTGAAGTGAGAAGAACACCAGAAAAATAAACAATATCTAGGCTACCAAAAAGTTGAAGAGATATTCAAAGGGAAAAGGCAGAAAACAGTAATACTAACCTTTACCCAGCACTTCTCTGAACAATGTAAGAATAATGATTTTCCTTGATTAGATTGTTACTCTGATTGTAAAGTCATTAATTTATTCCCAATCTAGTTGACAGAATTTTTGGGTTTCTTACTAAAAAGTGAACTTTAAATCCTGGAAGGGATCATGTCAATGTATGCTCTTGTTTGCCAGAAGGGTAGTGGAGTGTCGAGCAATCAGAGAAAATTGATCCTACTTATATGGCAGATTTGTTACATCATCTTATGAATAGATATATGTGAATTCATTTATCATAAGAATTATATTTTACATATGCATATTACAAGGGGTATGGAGACGGTAAAGAACTACTGATGGTAACCTGATGAAGAGCAAGTAAAATAACAGAAAAAATTCAGGTACAGTAAGGCCAACATTTTTGGAAACCTGCTAGTTTCTTCCTCTCTTCTTTCCTTCTTCCCTCCCTTCCTCATCATATTCCAAGCACAATTTTAGGAGGGTTAGCACAAGCCTAAGGTATAAAAAAGAAGTAATAATAAAGAGTGGAACATAAGCAAAATGATAACCTATGATAGCATTGTAAGGTAGAACCAAGAATGGGATGTAAAATATAAAAACTAATGTGCCACATGTTTGCTACAAGTGAGCCATGATTTTAATGGCTGTGATCACATTAGAAAAAACATGGTCAATTATTTCTCTAATGGAACTGGAGTGTCCCTCCCTGCCATTTGTGACTTGTTAAGATTGCCCGATGATGCCACCTTCATTCCCCATTTTCTGGCCAATGGAATTTCAAAGTCATTCCCTAGATTTTGGAGAATTCCCAAAGAACTTCTATTTTCCATGGTCACTTCTGGTATCAAACACGTGTCCCAGCAAGTTTGTTCAGGATGAGGGATGTCTTCCATCCTGTGGCTGCTGTTTCTCTTTCAAGCCAGTTTGACTACAAAGTGAAACTCACCACCTTCCTCACCAAAATACTCTCTCCATGAGGCATTTGAGTTTAGAAGATTTTACTGAGGAATTAAGAAGACTGCAGAGTATTTATTGTGTAACAATATATCATCAACCTGACAACTGTTAAATTCCTCTAATTTTGGAATATTTTTTTGTGCCAACTTTATTCTAACAATACTCAGTCTTATATTATCTCAATGGCTCCACTATCCATTTCCCTCCTTTTTTTCCATTTATTCCCCTCCCACATCCCCTAATTAAAAACAAAACAAAACAAAACAAAACAACAACAACAGAAAACCTCAGAACAATTTAACTTTCTTTTCTAGTACATTGGCAAGGGGCTTAGGTTTTTTGCTATGTTATTCTGATCGCTTACCCCAGAGAGATATTTAAGGTATTTCCCAAAACATGTACAATTCCCAATTAAGAGATTTCTAGGGCTGACTTTAAAAAAAAATAAAATGCCACTGCATTCTAGATTTTTATCAGAAAAAAAACTTATTCTTAGATGTACAACTACTTTTGACAATGAGAACACATAGCAACAGACTCACAGTTCATCCGCAGCCTAGAGCAGAGCTGTAGAGCTACAGCCAATTTGCAGCTGTAATTTGTAATGTGAGTAAAAATAAATCTTTTTATAAAGTCACTGAAATTTTAGAGTTGTTTGTGAAATTGCATTACCGCAGCAAAAGCTGACTCACATGGTGCTATGCATTCTCAATTTGACAAATATGCGTTCAGAAAGACCAAATAAAATATATGTACAACTATGGTCTTTATGTAGCTGCAAGTTAGCAAAATATTTTTAAAATAGGATGTGTTTAATTATTATTGTGCATGCCTCAGTTTTCCTTTATAGGCTAGTGATGTTCATGTAAGTATAAAGATATCTTAAATCAAAAACCATTTTATGTTTGTTTTCTAAAATTTATTTTTGTCTCATTTCAGAAAAATATATTAATTATGCCATTTTAATAAATATTTTAGCATAATTTATATTTAATCGATTGAAATGACAAAATATGTACCTGTGTTTTTGAGTTTTCAATTATTACACTTGGGGACCATTTCAAATTTAGTCTTGGTCATACATCTTTGCAATTCAAACTTAAAATGACTACTGTGTGACTGGCCCCATAACAGATATTGCTGAGTTCTTTGCAATGTTGAACAAGAATCAGCTTGTGCGAGACCTCTATTTTTCCTGAGTCATCTTTACTCAGCAATTCCCCATTTCATTTTTCTAATTTTGTTTTAACATTTTCATATAGTAAAAATAACTTTAAAAAATCTTGGTATGCATTTCTGTGAATTTTAAAACATGTAACCATGTAACCATGCATTATCAGGATGCAAAACTGTTAGCCCAAAGAAACTTCCCCATCGTACCCCTTTATACTTGCACCCCATTTTCCACCCTCCCACCAACACAAATCTATGGCAAAGGTGGATTTGTTCTTTGTCTTTATATTTTCCATTTCAGGAATATTATATAATAATATGGCATGTAATATTTGAGATTGGCTTTTATCATTTAGCACATGCTTTTGAAATGTATCAGGCTGTTGTATTAATATTTCATTTCTTTCCATTTCTGAGTAATATCCCATTGTATGGTTGTACTAGTGTTTATCTCTTTACCTGCTGAAGGACATTTGAGTTCTTCCCAGTTTTGAACTATTACAAGTAAAGCTTCTTTGAAAAATTTTTTTTGAGATATTTGTCTGAAGATTTATCTAGGATAAATATCTAAGAGATACATCACTGGGCCATATAATAAGAACTAACTTATGAAAGAATTCCAAATCATTTTCCAGAGTGTCTATAACATTTTATGTTCCTATCAGCAACAGATGAGCAATCCAGTTGCTCTGCATCCTCCCCAGTGCTTGATATTGTTCATATTTTTAAATTGCAGCCATTCTAATAGATGAGTAGTGATATCTTATTATGGTTTTAATTTGTGTTTTCCTAATGACTAATGATGTTAAATATCTTTTTATCTGATTTACTCATCTTGTATTTTCTTAGGTGAAGTTTTTGTTCAAGACTTTGCACAGTGATTAATTTGGCTTTTTATTATTGCATTTTGAACATTCTTTATATATACTGGAGAGAAGTTCTTGTCAAATATCTTCTCCCAGTGTAAAGTTTGTTATCTCTTTACAGAATATTTTAAAGAGAAAAAGTTTTAAGTTTGCTAAAGTCCAATTAATTCATATTTTTGACATTTTTACTTTTATGTTATCGTGTCTCAGAACTCCTCATATAATCCCGTCATGAAGGTTTTCTCTTACATTTTCCTGTAAATGTTTTATAGTTTTCTGTTTTATATTTAGAGCAATCATTCATTTTGAGTTAATTCTAATAAAAGTAGCAGGTTTGGTTTGAGATTAATTTTTCTTAACTTATAGCTGATCGGTTGATCCAACACTATTGATTGAAAAGATGAGCCTTTATTTTTTGAATTTCTTTTATGTGTTGATCAAAAACCAAATGACCATATGTGTGTGGGTTTATTTCTGAACTCTATATTCTGTTACTTTGATCTACATATATATCCTTTCACCAATATCACACAATATTAGTATAGCTTTAGAGTGATTCTTAGAATTTGGTAGTATTACTCATTTAAACAAAATTTATTTTTGTCAAAATGTGTTAGCTACTTTAGTTCTTTTATTTTTCAGATTTATCTAACTGTACCTGTGTAGTTCCTGTACTCAAATAGATTTTAGAACCAATTGTCTACATGCACAGAAAATATGCTCAAAGTTTGATTGGTATTGGATGAAGTCTATAAATCAATTTATGAATAAGATTTGGAATATAGACTTATGGATAAGTCACATGATTCATATTTTGTGTTTCAATTAATGAACATGGAATGCTTCTCATTTTATTTAGAGCTCTTTAAAATTTTCTTTCATCAGTGTTTTATAGTTTTCAGCATAGGTATCCTGTACATGTTTTGTTAGATTTGTATCTAAGAATTTATTTGATATCAAAACTATTTTAAGTGGTATATTTATTGCAATTTCCAATTTTACAGTTCTGGTATATTTGTATAGCCACTACTTCTTTTTATTTGTGTAACATAAAATAGCTTTTCTACATTATTTTATTCTTTCAACCTCTCCATTTAATTTTACTTCGAATGAGTTTCTTGAAAAACTCACATAATTGGGTCATATTTTTAATTTATTCCTAAAATATCTATCTTTTAATTGGTGTGATGAAACCAGTTACATTTATTATCACTGATAATGCTTGAATTTGGGTACACATTTTCTTTGTTTTCTATTTGTTGTCTCTGTTTCTAGTCCACCTATCCTTTCATCTTTCTTTTGGGTTATTTGTACATGATTTATTATCTCATTTTAATTTAGCTATAGTAATTTTGACTATATTTAATTGAATGTTTTTAGTGTTTTCTCAAGGAATTACAAAATATATATATTATTGTACTCAGTCTATTTAGAATCATGATTTTAGCACCTCAATTTGAATGTAGAAATCTTACCACCATATAAATCATCTTTAAATCTTATGCTATAGTTGTCATATATTACATGTGCATACATTAAAATAATTTCAGAAATTTTATAATTGTTTCCCTCAACTTTTAAACATATTTTAAAGAACTCAAGAGAATAAAACTATTATATTATATTTATCTATATTTTTACCAATTGATACTACAGGTTTCTTTCTGGTATTATTTATCTGCTGTCCAAACAACTTTCTTTAACAATTATTTTAGAGCAGGCCTACTGTCTATTCCTTTGGAAACAGATCATAAACTGGGAATTTGAATACTTAAAAGAGAAAAGAAAATCCCTGTAGATTACTTATGTATGAAAAATCACCTAAAATGTGTTTGGCACATAGTTGTTGCTCCAAAGCTCAGTATGAATAGGGGATAGCATTTTTAAATTGATTGAACCTATGCTACTTCATTTACATTCCAAAATATAGACACAATTAATGATGATTTCATGAGGAAAAATAATAACAAATAAATCAAGAGCAAAAACCAAATACATCTATAGCATAGTTTTGCATAGCATTCTTAGTTTTTTAAAAACGATAACTCCCTGGATATTTTTTCTTCCAATAAAATCCCAAAGTAAAAGTTGCTAAATATTTTTAAATTGGATTTCTCAATATTGATGCTATCTGTATCACAGTAAATGTATCAAAGAGTTGGAGGCCACATTGAAATTTGCAAATTATTTCCTGTTATGTAGATATTTTTAGTTTGCATAACTTATTCCAATTTTCTCATTCCTAGGTTGGGGTCATACTAAAACTGTAGAAAGCAGACTCCTCAGAGTTAATGTTGAAATGAAAGATTGAACTAGAGCTCTTTTGCCCTGCTGGGAAGGCTCCTCAGGTGAATGTTGTTTCCCAGGGGTCCTAAAGAAAGAACTAATCAACTGCATGTTTCCTAAGGGGTAAAAGCAGCCAGGGGCAAAATTTTAGGAGACAGATCATTAAAGTGCCATGTTGTGAATTCCACTTTTATATCTGATAAGCTGCTTGATTAGGTAGCCAAGGTAGATATTGTATAAACATCTTTTAAAATATCTTTTACAGAACAGTTATCAGTTTCTTGTCTCAGAGGTTTATCCTGAATAACACATACTTCAAACTTAAGAAACCAAATTACTATATTAAATTAGTTCTTTATTACTAAAAATACCTTGAATAAAGTTACTTACCATGATAAGCATATGTTTTCTCGTTCACTGAATTAGGAAATGATAGTAATGCTTTTCTCAGAGGGTTGTCATGATGATTAAATGAGGGAAAATATATAAAATCTTAGAATGGTGCCTGACACATACCAAGCCCTCCAACTAATGTTTATTATTATTATTTTGTTGCTATATATGATATTTTCAATAGTTTTGAGGTATATAGGAGGTAGTATTGTAGTTTTACATTTTGTTAGAAATACTGGCTCACAGTAACAGACTAAAACACACTGCAATTTCTTTGTGATTAGATCAGAAAGTAAATATCAATATTAGATAAAGACTCCAAAAATGTTCCATTTAATAGTTTATCAGTCAGGCTGTGTGTCATATAGTTACATGTACATACAAAAAAATCATAGAATGACCTATATAGTTTTTACTGAATTTAAATATTATGTAGACAAACAGTTAAACTACACTTAGTAATTAGCAATTATATGTCAGCTTACCCTTCTAAAAACCTCTTTATTAGTGATTAAGTTGATCACATTCTCGGAGCCAAAACTAGCCCTCAGGATAATAGGATATTCTAGAACAAGAAGATAATATCATCTATGTTTTTTAGGGTTAAATAATGAACTCCTCCACTCATAGAGTCACATGGAACTTCAGGTATTTTGTAAACACATTCACTTCAAGGTGTTAATAGTTCGTTATCTCCAAGTATATTTTCTTCCCCATCAGATGATATTGAAGCATAATTTCCTTAGAATAAAATGCATGGACTTCATATTTATACTTCAATGAGTTTTGACAAATGTATAAAACTATGTAACCTCTTCAAGATATCAAATATTTCCATTATCCCAAAAGACCCCTCCTATCTTTTTTTTTTGTTTGTTTTGGTCACTCTCCCCTACTCCCTATCTCAAGCACATACTGATCTGCTTTCACTCACTATTTATTAGTTTTATGGGTTCTAAAATTCTATGTAAGTAGAATAATACTGTGTCTGATTTCTTTTACCCAAAACATTATTTTGAGATTCATCCGTGCTATTATGTGCATTAGTATTCTTTTTGTTTTGTTTGTTTTGATGTAGTTTGGTTTGATTCTATTGTATCTTTTGGTATGAATTGACTAGGTTTAGTTTACCTATTCATATTTTGAATCTGAATTGTTTTTGTTTGGGACTCCTATGAATAAGATTGGTATGGATACTCATTTACAAGTCTTTGTGTATACCTACTTTTCATTACCTTGGACAAATATGAAGAAGTGGAATAGCTAGGTCACGTAGTAAGTGTATGATCACATTTGTAGAAAATGAGCTCCCAAAGTAGTTGCAACAATTTGCCTTCTTACTAACACTATAGAGAATATTTTCTCCTGGCTATGGC
Organism: Homo sapiens; assembly: GCF_000001405.40. Lineage (NCBI taxonomy): Eukaryota > Metazoa > Chordata > Mammalia > Primates > Hominidae > Homo > Homo sapiens. Next base: position 118,907,699 of record NC_000007.14, read on the forward strand.
TTTCCTTTTTATGTTTTGTTGTGTTTTTCATATATTTTTATTAACATTATTTATAGTTGACAAATCACAATTGTATACATTTATTGGATACAATGTGATGTTTTGATTTATGTATACAAAGTGAAATGATTAAATGAAATTAATTAACATGTTGATCATCTCACTAATCTATCTTGGTATATTTTGAAGAGCCAAAAATTTTAAACTTGAAATTATCCAATTTATTGATTTGTCTTTCTTTCTTTTGTACTTTTTGTCTACCTGAAGGTTGTGAAAATATACCTTTACTAAGTGCCTGTGGGAGTGTCTGGCAACTTCTTGTCATTCTCTTTAGAACATGCAGATAACTTGTGACCCCTGCCCTAAGCTTTTGTTCTTGGCAGAAATTCTGTGATGGCATAAAAATTCCCACTCAGCATTTTACCACCTAGTTTATAAGATAAAGTTGCCAAGGAGACTGAAAACTATTTCTCTACATTTGCCTCTTATTATTTTTATTCACAGAAAGTTGTATCCTCTTCTATAATACTATGCTCTTCTACATTAAGTGATGGTTTGCTTAATATTTTTTATTATACTATGACAACATGTACTTTCTTTTATTTTATGAAACAGGGTCTCACTCTGTAGCCCGGGCTGGAGTGCAATGACGCAATATCGGTATCTTAGCTTACTGCAACGTCCGCCTTCTGGGCTCAAGTGAACCTCTCACGTCAGCTTCCCCAGTAGCTGGGACTACAGGTGTGCACAATCATGCCTGGCGAATTTTGAAATTTTTTATAGAGACACGGTCTCCCTATATTCCCCAGGCTGGTCTCAAACTCCTGAGCTAAAGTGATCCTTCTGCCTCTGCCTCGTGAAATGCTGGGATTATAGGTGTGAGCCACCCCACCTGGCCTGTATTTTCAATATTAGCAACAACAAAGTTTCAATATTAGTACAAACAAAATTTTAATGTTGATAAAAAGTTTATCACGAAATGTCTGAAAGGTTCATTTTCATGACTGAGACTAAACGTACTGTTTGGAATTAACTGGACATGCTCTATTGACTGGACCTTAGGAACCTCCGGAAGGAATAGTTAAAAGAATACAAGTCTAGTCTGATGGACCACATACTAGTTTCGTATCTCCAACCCATTATGTGATCTGTCAGTTTTATCCTATGTAAAGTGACCTTTGGTGTTGCTTTCAGTTTTCAGTACTATGATTTTGAGTTTATCGAGGTTAATTTTGCTTTTGTAAATAAATAAATATTCCCAATGCATTTGAAAATTAAACAATCTTGTCTCTCAGTAGTATAAGCTTCACCATCAGTCTATCCTGGACTGTGAGGTCTTTTTTAAGACAAATTCTCATGGATCTTTTCATAAATAGGACCAGCACAGTGTCTGGGAGCATAATGGTACAAAATGCCTGTTTATTAAACAGTGAATAAATAAATACATTTTATTTCCAATGAAACCCTGAGATTTTCACGTTGTTTGCTCTAAGGCATTATATTAGTAATTTCCTCTACTATAAGTGAACAGATTTATAAATGTATCATTGATATCTTCTTGCCAATGGTTTAATAATCTATAAAGAATACCAAGTCCATTTCCTACTGAGTTCACATATGTGATATGTAGAACAGTGTATTTGGTTTTTATGCTAATATGCCCTAGTAGCAAAGAGTGTGGTGGTAATATATGTGTGTTAACGATCATATATGAATAAGTGCTTATTTTAATTCTATGCCCCTAGAATTATTTTTTGTAATTTTGGCCTTTTTCATTGAGCTTGTAAGCATTTTAGAAATCTTCTGTTAAATGAAAATGGATTGTGACATTTGCTTTTTTTCTCCTTTGAGTGATTCTAAACTGCTGCAATTTACTATTCCTTTGTTAGATTGTGTAGCCTCTGTCATTTCCTTCTGGTTCGTAAAAGTTTATTTCTAGATATTATGCTCCAGTGGAGAAATAGATATACGGTGTTTCCAGAAAGAAGTCCTCTGTGACCTACACAATTCAGTAAAAAAATCTATTTCAGGATTTATAACAACTTTGTATAGAAGAATCCATAACTTTAACTTGATTCTAATAATAAACACTTAGTTTTGATGAGGAAAATTCCATTTATTGCATTTTCCAAAAGAATAACATTAGATAAGCTATTTACTCCAAGGTATATAATGGAGTCATTCTAAGCATTAGAGTCAAAACACATTCATTGATCTTGAAAGTTGGCCCAAGGCACCTCCTTGAAACTACCATAAATCCCATTTGTGTTTATTTTTATAGTTCATCTTGGCAGAATTTTTCTAAAAGTCAAAATAAAATGTGATTGGCATTCAATCTGGTTATCATCTTTTGAGCTTGAGGCTAAACTGCTTTTAACCTTGGGAGGGGAACTCAAACCCTTGACATGTCTCAGTTTATGAAGAGTCCAGCATTTCCAGAACTCCAACAAGGTCATCTCTTCAAAGCTTCCACTGGCAACTATTAAACACTGAAGTTATTAAAAGATCTTACTGTATATACTGTGTCTTTTTTGTCCAGCATTTTATTATATTAGAAACTTCCATTGTAATTTCATATTACATCATTACAAGAAGGGCTTCTTTGTGTACATTAACCCCATATTCAATAAAAAAATTCTTAAATGGCTCCATATTCCCTGCTCCAGCCTGAGACATGATTCATTATAGCATCTTTAAACAGGCCTCTAATATCAGGCACACATGGCTTATTGATTTAAAGATGGTCTCTGCAGGAAGAACTATATTTTCATGCATAAAAATATAGCACCTGGGAATTCTGTGGTGTTTTAGGTTAATATTCCTTCCCAAGATAAAATATAGGCTGTCACCAAAATGATTATTTTAAAAATTAAGGGACAAATGCTATACAAATTTTGGAAAAGATTGCAATAAGTGGAAACTTGCCTTAATAGAAGCATAAAATATTATAAAGAAAAAAATGTGTTGTTGAATATGTGTAGGACTGAATGAACAATCTAATGAGAGAGTTCTGAAAACAGTATGGAGTTTCCTCTAAAAATTTAAAAAATAAATAAATAAAATAATTAAAAAAGGAACATATGATCAATCTCATTTCTTGGCATATATCCAAAGAAAATAAAATTCATATCTCAAAGAGATATCTGTACCACCTGTTTATTTCAGCATTATTCACATTAGCAAAGATGTCTGAACAATCTAAGTGTCCATCAACAAATAAAAATTGGAGATAAATCTAGACCTAGGTATTTATAAATATAGATATATATACAATGGAATTTTATTCAGTCATAGACAAGAAATAAAATCCTGCTATTTGTGACAACATGGATGAACCTGGAGGACATTAGATTAATAGAAATAACCCAGACAGAGAAAGGGAAACTGTATAATCTCACATACATGTGGAATCTAAGAAGAGTTCAACTCACGGAAACAGAGTAGAATGGTGGCTCCCAAGGGTTTGGGGGTAAGATTGGGAGCCAGATGTGACAGGTAATGAGTTTCAGGAGACAATTCTCCATAGCATTTCTGTGTCAGCTTTCTGGACTATCTTGTCAAGGATGTTTGTATAACAAGCAGCTTTGGAAAATGGAGAGATGATTTCCCTTCAGGGAAGAGGGCAGGTATGATTCCTGACCATAATAATAAAGATAACGTCGTCCTCAAAGACAAAGATCAGGTGGGTTTGCTAGTAGCTCCTTTAATAACACTAGGATTTTCTAAGTTTGGAGTTTCTCGGCTGTGATACAAACTCACTGTGTGTGCGGTTTTCAACTGGACCACTCCATGTGGCCCCTGTTGTGTTGGGAAGGCAAGGGCCAAAAATGTGAACACGAAGCTCATGCTGCTTCCCTTGATATAAGAAACACAGTTCTTCCCTCTAACTCAGGAGTCTAATGTCTCCTGTTGACATGAAGGTTTGCATGAAACATGACTTCAGTTACGTTGAAAGTATGGTAAATTTCAGACCCTTCAGAGGTCTTTAAAAGGAAGACAAAGTCCAAGAGAACACTGTAATAATCATCACTCATGACAAGAAGGTTTTTTTTTTTTAATTTGTCTATGTGTGGGAAGCAGATTTATAGTGAAGCCGTTAACTGGGCTACAGAGCGCAGAAATAAGAACTGATTGCAGGGAAATGTAAAGCTAAATTGGGGCTTGTGAAATTTAGAATGTCAGGAAAATAATTAAGAAACTCTAGATGCTGGGCATTTTTGAGTGTGTAAGAATTGTCTGAAATATCGTCTCACCACAGATAAAATGCCTTATACCCAAAGACAGACAATAACAAATGCTGACAAAGATATGGGGAAAAGAGATCCTTCATACTCTGTTGGTGGGAAAGTAAATTAGTACAACCACTATGGAGAATGGTTTGGAGGTTCCTCAAAAAACAAAAAAATATGCTCATAAATGATCCAGCAATCCCGTTGCTGGGTTTATACCTCAAATAATGGAAATCAACATAGAGAAGATATGCCTGCACTCCTGTGTCTGTTGCATCACTGTTCATATTGGCCAAGATTTGGAAGCAACCTAAGTGTCCATCAACAGATGAATGGATCAAGAAAATTGTGCTATTTGTACACTATGAAGTACTATTCAGGCATTAAAAAAAATAAGATTTGGTCATTTGCAACAAGGTGGATGGAAATGGAGGTCATTATGTTAAGTAAAATAAACCAGACACAGAAAGATAAACATTGCATGTTCTCATTTATTTGTGCATCTAAACATCAAAACAATTGAGCTCATAGAGATAGAGAATTGAAGGATGGTCACCAGAGACTAGGAAGGGTAGTGGGGTGAGGGCAGAGGTGAAGTGGGGAAGGTTAATGGGTACAAGAAATAGTTAGAAGAATGAATAAGACCTGGTATTTAATAGCACAACAGGGTAACTATAGTCAAATATAATTTAATTATACATTTACAAATAACTAAAAAGGTATAATTGGATTGTTTGTAACACAAAGGATAAAGCTTGAAGGGGATGAACTGCATACTTTTTCATGATGTGATTATTATGTATTGCATACCTGTACCAAAATATCTTATTTACTCCCAAATTATATAAACCTACTATCTATCCATAAAAATTAAAAATTAAAACAATATTTAAAAAGAATCCTCTATATAGAGGTAGTGTGTTAATTCATGAAAGTAAATGCAATCCTAAAATCGCTTTATGAGAATGTACTCCTTCCTCTAGAGTAAACTTAGCTTAGTTTCTATAATAAGTATCTGCAACCACGTTGCCCTTTTAAGGGTATAACTTCACTATTTAATATTTTCATAATTCATTTTTATTATAAAATTAAGGTTTTTGTTAATAACCAGTTTATAGCTACTTTTCAACACTTCTCAATTTTACCTTCTTTTCATCTCTCAAATATATCTCTTTCTATTGATTTGCACTGCTCTACCATCGAATTAGTCCATAACTGCTTCTCATTCCAACAAACCTCTAATTATCCCCTTGTGTTTGATCTCTACTCCTGTCTCCTCTCTCAAATCAGGATCAACTTCATTATTTTAGAAGACTAATGATTTAAAATACAGTTTTGACCATTTTATCCTTGTTTGCACAACCTTTTGAATTTTTCTTATTACCTACTGCATAAAACCTAACTTACATGTGTAATCAAGGGTCTCAAAAATGTCCTCTTCTATAGTTTTCTTTCAGATTTTTGACTTGATTTATTGCATGTGGTTTGTCTCTGAGATTTATGTGAGAATTTTTCTTATGCATTTCACTTTATAACACGGATCTTTATTCTTATTTATTTTTTATTATTTATTGAGATCTCCATTTATTCTGTCATGTTACAGGCTCCTAAAAGTTAAATAACTTTATTAAACTTTATATATATCAAGTTCCTATTATTGTGTCTTACACCTGTTAGGCACATAGCAAAATTTACATGCTGGATAAACACATCCAGTTATACATTAACGACTATATGTAGACATTAAAAGACACCCAATTGCCCTTATTAATTTAATAGTTCAATCTTATTGTTTACTATTTATGTCTCAATTAATATACAACAATCTACAATACATATTTATGTATTTATATTTTGGCATTACAACCCCATTGATTTTCAATATACTCTGACCCTAATGGGCTAACACGATTGCCTAAGTCAATATTTTGTTGCTTAAACCAAAAATAAGAAAAATGGAGAAATATGTCAAGTTTATTTTAAATTAAATTAAGGAGAAAAGACAGAACTATCGCAATAGTTTATATTTTAATTAGATGGGAAAAAGCCATAATGAAGAAATTAAGATACATGATTTAAATATGTGGAAATCTAGATAATCCATAAAGATTTCCAAGAGTACTTCTGCTTACTGTGTCCAGGGGCTGCCACACAATTTAATTTGCAGAGGCAAATTGATGAGACTGTCCAAACAGTATATGACATGCTGTGTTGCTTCACCACACTTTTTTCAAAGCAATTCACAAGGTTGTGTCTCTAACTATGCCTTTAAGCCTCAAATTGATTACATAAATCTTGGAGGAAGCTTGAGTAGACATTGAGTACAATGGATAAATCATGAAAATTTTCTGACATATAAAATAAACATTCAGCAGTTTTGAAAGACATTAGAGACTTAATTACAAGTTAGAAGTGTCTGATTATACAATAACTATTATTAATGGAACCATTACTGGGTTTCGGGGTTTTTAAATAAATATTCTATAATTGTCAAAAAAAATGCAAAGAAATAGTTACTGGTCTCATTTTACAAATATAGAAACTGTGGCTCAAAATCCATTTGCAGCAACATGGATAAAACTGAAGGATATTATGTTAAGTGAAATAAGCCAGACACAGACAAGTATTACATGTCCATACTCATATGTGGAGGCTAAAAACATTGCTCTCATGAAAGGGGATAGTAGACTGATGGTTACCAGAAGCTGGGAAGGGTGAGGGGGGTGGGTGGATGAAGAGAGACTGGTTAACGGGTGCAAAAATAAGATTAGAAGGAATAAGCTGTAGTGTTTGATACTGTATAATATACAATAAATTATATTTACGGATACCACAGTAGCGTGACAATAATTAACAGTATTGCACATTTCAAAATTGCTAGAAGATTAGGAATGTTACTAACAAAGAAATAGTAAATGTTTGAAGTAATGAATATTGTAATTACCCTGATTTAATCATTACACATTATACACATGTATCAAAATATTATATTATATATACAAATTATATGTTGTATATCAAAATATATTATTACATGTGCCCCCCAAAAATGTATGATTATTATGTATCAATACAAAAAGGCTAGGTAATTTATCAAAGATCACATTGTTAGGAAGTATTCAGATCAAGCTTTGAACTGCTATCTCCTAGGCTTTATTCGTTTTGACTTTAAGCTTGAACAGAAATGGTGAAAAGGTATTTCACATTCATGAAATCACAAATGGGAGCAGGAGTCTTGTCAAGAGGTAAACCTGAAAGCTTCATAATTTTATTTAGTTAGGGGCTGGTGTACATTTCAAGCCAGGACATGCTCCTTAGAAAAGTGTAAGTTTTGATAGAATAGGAGAAAAAAATGTAAATACAATAGATAAAGAGTAAGGTGATTTGTGGTAGAACTAATTTACAATAAGATATAAATGACTGATAGAATAAAATTAAGTCTAATTAAAATACTACAGGAAAATTTGCCTGTTAAAATTATTTACCTTAATAATCTAAATCAATGCTATGAAATATTGAATTTACAGATTGATCATTTTTCTCTCATTTTTTTCTTAGAAATAATCTTTTAAAATCAGTTATCTATTTCTTTTTGATAATGCCACCTCTGTAGTACATATTTAATATTCCACATGTAATTACCTATTTGACTTCTAAATTTAATATACTTTATGACACAAACTTTGAACAATCTTCAACTGATTTTTAATCATTCCAGTAAAATGATTTAAAACAAAGAGCTATTTAAAACAGTAAAACTGAATTTATTTTTAAATTAATTTAATGATTAAAATATTTGTAGCCAATGATTGTGTCCCTGTGCTGTCACTCTTCAAACCATAGTAAATTTTTATGGTAGTATCTTTTCTCTCAAAAGATCTTTAAAACACTCTTGTGGATTCAGAATCTTTCTATCGAACATGAGGAATACATTTTCTAAAGGAGGTGGATAATTACTACTCATCATGTCTGATGAGGAAAGTTCTTAGTGTATTGGATGTATCATTTGGCTTGTCTAAAGCAGTGATTGTATCTATAAATATTGCTGAGATATCTGGCTTATTCATGTCCAAGAGCACTTTTAATTAGCACATTGACTTTTTAAAAGGTATTTCACATTCATGAAATCACATTTAATCTCATTTCTGGTGGCTAAGTTCTTGTCTTCTTACCTTTCTCTCTTGTTGGTCAGCATGCAATCTTGACCTTCAAAGAAGGCGGTAAGAATAATGTTGAAGTTCGCTGATAGTTTACACCAGGCAAGAACCCTTTTTTAAACTTCATTCCTGTCTCACTTAGAACTAAATCTGCTACATACCAGTCATTTCAAATAGGCCTTTAAGAGGTTTTATCCAAGTATCAAGTTTATTTATTTATTTATTATTTTATTTTATTTTAATTTTTATTTTATTTTATTTTATTTTATTTTATCTTATTTTATTATTATTATACTTTAAGTTTTAGGGTACATGTGCACAATGTGCAGGTTAGTTACATATGTATACATGTGCCATGCTGGTGTGCTGCACCCATTAACTCGTCATTTAGCATTAGGTATATCTCCTAAAGCTATCCCTCCCCACTCCCCTAACCCCACAACAGTCCCCAGAGTGTGATGTTCCTCCTGTGTCAATATAGGCTTTTAGTACTCCTGTGATTTGATCACATGTCGTAATCTCATTTCTCTCATGGGAAAAACAACTTGACTGCACTCTTACCATTCACATGTCCTTAAAAGCAATACTGAATTATCTTTTAAAACAATAGTAATAGGTATTGAATATAGCAGGCGGTACACTGGTGAGTACCTCATGTCGAGGGGATTGGGACCAAAGTGAAATATATGAAAAGGTTTCTGCATTAAAATTGAGATTTTTCATTTTTGAAACACACATTTGTTAAACACCTTCTTTGATGGAGAGAGTATTGTATTTGAAAATAGAAAAATGAGAAAAAGTCTCTGTCTTCATGTGGTTTCTAGCAGTAAAGAAAGCATGCGTACATGTAAGTAATCCACAAGATGATGTGATTATTTCCAGAAATCAGATATATAAGGCAGGCCATGAGAGTTCATGGAGGAAAAGAAGGGTCTTTTTGCTGATATATCCAAGAAAGACTTTGCAGTTACATTAAACGTAAATGTACTTTATGATACATCCATTGTACCCCTGGATATTTATCCAAGAAAAAGTGAAAACTGATATATACACTACTATTTACAGCAGCTATATCATCCAAGTCTAAAATTAGGGGAAAATTTTATTAACAGTAAGTAAATTAGGTACTATAAATAAACAATAAAAATAGCAAACTTTGCTGGTAAATGCAAACACATAGGGGAGTGTCAGAATTAATATGTTGAATAAAATAACCGAGAAAAAACATTACATATTGCAAGATTACATTTATATAAAAATGCAAAGAATTATGATGATAAAATTGCCAATAATTGTTGCCTAAAGCAAGTGATAGACTGGGGTTGGAGAGCTGTTCTCTATCGTCAATTTGCTGATGGTTACAATGGTGTACACAGCTGTCAAAACTCATTGAATTGCCTACTTTAAATGGATGCATTATGTTGTGTATAATTCTACAATGAATTTGATAAAGTTTCAAAGAAAGATTTAAAACTTAAAAAATATTAAATTCCACTAATTCTTACATGGTAATCATTGCCATGGTTTCTCAACATAGAAACTGGTATATATTAAAAAAAACTAATAAGAGTGTAGTTTTTGACATTTATGGTTGTTTGCTGGATAGTTTATGTTAAAAATAGGGATAATTTTTATTGTATTTTATTGTATTTTTACAGTATATTTATCTGTAGCTTTAAGAGTGTCAACTAGTAACTCATAGTGAATCAATAAATCTTATCATTAATATGATATTTTGGTAAGTTTAAGGTACAACTTTTAAAGTAATATTTCCCATGTAATATTACAAAAATGCCATAAGAATAATATGAGTAATACACTGACTATTAAAAAATAAATGAGCATGAAACCGAATAGTAATTTGTGAGACAAAATTTTGTTATGTATTTGTTTATAGTTCAATAAAATATTTTTGAAAATAATTTAAAATATTTAGAAATTTAACATAAAATAACTAAAATCATACAAACATGAAAAGTAAAAAATAAAATGTATTTATAAATAATAATTCCATTGATAGAAATTTAAGATGAAATAGGTTAAATATTGAGCATAAGGGACTCAATAGCGCAATAGTGACTTTTCTAATAGGAAATATGCTAAAATAAATTTAAATCATTGAAGGCTTTTTGTTATAAACCAAAAAAAAATGAAGAAAAGAGAGTTTAAGGTTGGGATTGATATGGAGGAACAGAAATGTATTCTCAATAAACTTATAGTCTTTCCCTAAATGACTTGAATACCTTGTATAGCCACTCATATTTTAACAATTTCTTATAATGGTCATAAGATTAGGAAAATGAGTGAGGGGCCCCTATAAAGTGAGAGTCCTAACTGATTTTAAACAGGAAGTTAATTTAATGAACTGAGATGATTTATCTTACGTGCTTTGTAAGCTCAGCACATGTCCTAAATATTAACATCAAAGTAGTGGTGTATGTTGATGTAACCTTCTGGAAGGTAAAGAAATAATAATGTTACATATATGAGTAAAATATTTAATATTCTATTACTCTATGTTAGAACACTGTTATTATCCTCAGAAGAGAAATCTACAAGCTTATCCTTCTCTTTAAACTTCCTCATTATTTTGATTAAACTGAACAACCTGTTAAATAAATAATTCATATTCAATCACACCTCCTCTTCCAGATCATCATACTTTCCAGGAGATGGCACTCTAACACTTTGTTTTATAGTCCATATAGCAAATCTGTAAGCCAAAGATTATTTTAGCAATACATTATATAATATCGAGTGATTTAAACACTCTATGTCCATATGTAATCTTCAATTATTGGTCTTGCGTATTAAGATTATTAGTTAGTTATCCAGGCCTGTATTAAAAGTGTGACAGGTTCTACTACAGTGTTATAATATATAATTTTAATAAATGACCTGTTTAATTTTGCAATTACATTTAAGAAAAAATTTAATCTTATAAAGAACATTAAATTATTTATGAATCAAAATGTCAGAGGTTGCAATGTTTCGTAAATAATAGTAAACTGCCAAAATGCCAGTAAAGACCAAATTCAACATGATTTACATTTTTAATAACCTTGAGAATCCCTGGAATTTTATCTACTCTTCTGTAATTTTGGTAGATTTCATAGACAGACATATTTTTGTATAAAGAAATGTTGACTTTAACATCAATAAGATATGGAATGAACCCTTTCAGTACTTAAAACTTATTTTTTTATACTTAAAACTTTCTTTCTGCTCCTTTAGTTTTTGTGTTTATTCTTATTGCATTCTACTGTACTATATGTGACCGCATATAGATATTTACTTGCCAAAGCAGCATAAAATAAATCAGGTGCTTATTTATTAGTATGGCTCAGAAAAAAATATTTATAAAGCATGAGTTCTATACCAAGCATTATGATAGGTACTAGTTGTGTGACTATGAAAAAGAAAAACAAGAAAATCTTTGGTTTTGAGGAGCTCAAAGTCTTATGTGAGGCAGGTGTGAGAACTTATACTAAATTGTTAATTTTTGTGTGATGCTGAAGACTGAACAATGGACATTTCCTTCAGTTTTTTAAGAACTTAAAAGGTATCTACAAAACCTTTTAGGGGTCTCTAAAGTAGTCATTATGCTTGTCAGGAAGAATATCCATTGAAATACAGATGAAGAACCTCTTCCACAGAGAAATTCCGACTCTCTGGAAAATAAGACTCTACCAGAGCTTAATTTTAACACTTATTCCCAATTTGAGAAGGGGATTCCTCCCCAAAGGAATAAAATCATAGTGCATAGAGGTCAGGTCTTTCTTCAAGAAAATAAATCAAGAAAGCTGCAGCCACTGAAAGGAGTAGGAGGTTGGGAGAAAATAATGCAATACCTTCGAACAAATACTTGAGAAACTCACAAGCTCAAGACATAGGCACAATGAAAGACAGATTTATTCAGATGATTTTAGAATGCATTTCCTCCCCCAAACTTAATACCACCTGGGCTCCAGCATAACAACTTAAAGAACTGTAAGATTCAGACTCTGTTTATGAGGAGAGGTACAAAGGGAAGCCCAAAGACAAAAATGTTGACAAGAACAAACACACTACAGAACTTGAAGCATCTGGCACCTATAGCCACAACAAACATTAAGTACAGAACAACCCACAGCCAGATTAACATAGATCCTGCTATTCACAATCTATCTCAGTCGCTATTACCCATATGTATGGGTAATATAGCATGTGAAAGACATGTCAAAAATGAGAAAAAAATAAAACATAAGCTGACGATACAAAGAAGTCATGAGAACCCAACTCAATTATGACACAGAATTCAGATATGAGACAGGGTATTTAAAAAGTTATGATTAGTATGTTAAGGACTATACTGGAGTTTGGCCTAAAGGTTTCTCTTTACATCATGAACTATAACCTCAGTGGAGGTATAAGCAGACTATAGCCTATCTTGTGCCAATCACTGAGATTTGGTCAATCAAATGTGGCCAACTGTTCAAACTATGTTCAAATAAGGCAAATGCTGAGTTGTAACCAATCCAGCTGTTTCTGTACCTCACTTCTATTTTCTGTACCTCATTTTCCTTTTTCTGTCCATAAATCTTTTTCCATCATGTGGTTGTGCTGTAGTTGCTGAGCCTACTCTGGCTTGGGAGGCTGCCCAATTGACAAATTGCTCTTTGCTCAATTAAGCTCTTTTAAATTTAATTCAGCTACAGTTTTTTTTTTTTTGAACAGATGGTGTCAGAAGTGGGATACAAAGTAGAGCTTTTAGCAACCCTCAGGAGTGCCAAGTGACAAAGTGAGGTACCCATCAGACCCATTGTGTCCATTGTTTTCTCAGAACAACTGAGGATTGTGATAAGTGCTCTCTTGGATTCTGAAGCTTCATAGATTTGTGTTTTGAGCTCTCCAGGTTTCTTTGAGCAAATCTCTGATCCAAATTGGGTTTGGAAGTAATGACAGAAATAGGAGTGGGCTCAAGATTGGACTGGATCTGATAATTAATTAGCTTGGATTCAGTTAGAGGTCTCTTACATCTGAATGGATCAGAAATAAACTGACAGTAAGTGAAAATATTGCAGATGGTGTAAGTATTGTCTTTTGAAAATTTGCAGGGATTTTTGTATTCTATCCATTTGTTTATTTTTATTGCATGCTTAGTGTATTAGTCTGTTTTCATGATGCTGGTAAAGACATACTGGAAACTGGGAAGAAGAGGATTAATTGGACCTATATTTCCACATGACTGGGAAGGCCTCAGAATCATGGCAGGAGGTGAAAGGCACGTCTTACATGCTGGCAGCAAGAGAAAAATGAGTAAAAAGCAAAAGTGGGAACCCTTGATAACCTCATCAGATCTTGTGAGACTTATGCACTATCTTGAGAAAAGCATGGGAAATACCGGCCCCCATGATTCAATTACCTCCCCCTGGATCCCTCCCACAACACATGGGAATCCTGGGAGCTACAATTCAAGTTGAGATTTGGGTGGGGACACAGTCAAACCATATCACTTAGGTAAGGAAAAAATATCATTGGCTAAGTTGATCAAGGGAACCCGAGAGACAAAGCCAATATTTGAAGTAAAAATGGGATGCATAATTTCTGAAGATCTGAATTCCTTCTAGCTTATACATGCATAATTATTAGGGCCCCAGAAGCAGCAAGTCTTACGGAAACAGTAAAATCTTACTAAAATATAAAGTTACAGTGGAACATTCCAAATAAGCAACACAGCACTGAAGAAGTACATTTGAAAATGAAGACTCCCAAATTATTCTCATCTAGAGATTTGTATTGATATGCAGAAGCTTCAAAAAGCATTTCATTTTTTATTAAGTATTTTATTTTTATTTAAAGACTTTATGAAAAGCAAATAACAAGCTTAAGCAACTGATTGATAAGAAAAATTAAAACTACTAACCTTTTGGCTTAGTTGGTATCCCACCCCAAAGGTGGAAAGAAAGCTATCCTAGATAAGGTGTTTATAAAAGGTAGGCTCACAGGTAGAATAGGCTTGCTTCTTTTATAGATACATCCATCCTGAGGCCTTAAGAATGCTTTCCTGTCCCTAATTGAAGGGCTGCATACTGAACTTAGTAATTTTAGCTAAGAAACAGTATGTAAGTTAAAAAAGAATACCCTACTAAACTAAAATACCCTACTAAAGTAAAATACACCTTTCTGAAATTTAATTGGCTATCTTGAAACTCTTTTGCAAAAGAAATTCACATTTATCAAGGAAATCTCCAATTTTACGGATATCTGCTATTGCATATTCAAAAATCTTACCAGTCTTTTAAATTTACATATTAAGTAATATGTTTCTTTAAGGTGCTTTTCTGGCCATCTTGTCTTAAGCGAGCTTTTACTTGAGCAGTTTTTTTCCCCTTGGTTTGAGCAAATGATGATACAATATTTAGGCCTGAAATCTTAGGTCTGTGCTTACAAAATATAAAATTTTTTGTTCCATCTAAAAGTTTTTCTTTTAGAAATGCAAATTTGTTGCCTAGTTAGCAATTGCTTATGGCAATGAAACAGGTAACTGGAAGACTGATAGACCGAGTGGGGAAAAGAAAAAAAAATATTTAAAAGCTGGTAAATGGAAATCCTTTATGAGAGCTATGAGATCTGCTCCTGTGTGTTTGTATGTCTCTATGTATTATATGTATGTGATAGTTGGTTAATAAAGCTAGTTTTAAAATTATTGGTACAATATAAATGGCTTCAAAATTATTAGTTAATTGTAATTAGATACTTGCTTGATTTGACTGTGAACTTACGTCTTTGGTTTACAGTCGCTGGATTCAGGGTTCTGGATAGGTGGCCATAACGAAATCTGGAGACATGTTCTTAGTGCCTAGACCAGCAGTTATAAGCCAGAATCGAGCCAAATTTAGCCCTTTCTTTCTCTGCTTTTCTGATTTCACCTCCTAGCTATTTTGAGAGGGGTTGTATCCTCCAGATATAGTCTTCACAGCTTCTGTTCTTATAGTCCTGACTTTCATAGTCCTCCTGGGTGCCACGTGGTTACTTGAAACGTACAATGACTGGAGAAAGACATTAGGGAGGCTACCCGTGTCATAGTATCAACATTCTTTTCAGTAATTTAAAATCTTAGAATTATGTTATGTTAAATTAACCTTTTTCCCATTTACCCCAAGTATACTCACCAGTGGTGCTTGTAGCTGGAGCATTTACCCCGAGATAATTTTGCCATGAAATATCTCACTTTTGTTATTATTTTCAAATTTCTCAAGCATATTGACTTTGCAAATAAAAAAATCATTCTATTTATAGCATTCTGTTTTTAGTAGTGGTATTTCCATATACAAAATATAGTAATTCTCAATTGCTGAAAATGTCAAATCCTAGAAAACGTAGCATTACTACATGTAACGTTAACATCATTCTTGCACAGTTGTTAGACAAAGATTAATTTGATGAATCCAATTTTTCCAAAATAGACCATTCTGATGATTCAGATGATTCTGATGTCATCTGTTTAGACAGATCTGTTTAGAAAGAACTCCAAAAACAGTTTTTATATTTTATTGTCATGTTGAAAATCAGTTAGATTTGCTTCAGCTTCAAGGAGCATGTTTTCGTAAAATTAAATGAGCGCTACAAGCAAGCTGTGCTTCTTTTTTCTAAATGGGAAAAAGGTTAAGTAATAAATAATCATAAAATATCTGACTCATCTGTAAGTTAAGATACTGAAATATTAATTATTAAACATGAGTCTAAATCTATGTATTTTGATATTACTTTTATATGGTATAGAAAAGCTAAATATGTATAGACTGTTAATAAACAATAATTTGAAGAACTATTTTTCTAAAAAATTATATTTTTTCCACAAATACTGATATAAAACAGTTCAAAATTGCTTTCTAGGGTTTTCACTACATACTAGGATTACTAAGATTTAAAAACTACTAGATATTAAAGAAACAATTCTGTATACAGAGTCTATAAACAAAAGCAATATATGTTTTTGATGAATAAATTTATTAAAGAACAAAAGTGTGTGTTAAAAACTTTGGTTTGAAGTTATTTAAAGTTTTCAAATGGAAGAAATAAAAAATAAATCAAAATGACTATAGAAAGTCAGGGAAACATGTAAAACAAAAGTCTTATGCAAATTTTGTTTTCAAAAGATGACATATTTGATAAATTTATTTATGAAGTCTTATTAAAATTAGTTTTAGTATTGATACACTAATATGACATTAAAATCTAGTTTTCTGTTTTGAACAAAATTTTCTTTAGTATTAACAAGACACAGTAAAATATTTTTGTCTTTTGAGTAAACTGCAAAAAGACGAAGAAGAAAGAGAGGAAAGAAGTATAGATAGATTCTATTTTATACTGTCTTAAGTCTTCTGACTGGAAAACTGAGTGTCCTTTTTCAAAGCTTATAGGTATTTGCTTTTACAAATATTTTAATTATCACTTTGGTTGAATGAATGACTATTGTTTTATGGTGATTTGTGATACTATTTTGGTCTAATGCTTTAAGCCTTTAACACATTTGAAAGGCTTCCCAAAATCAAATTTCTTCTTCAAAACTAAGTCTTTGTCGACCTCTAACTTCGGGATGTTACAGAGGGCCCATGAAGCATTTAAAAGAGAGGTAAACAGGATTATTTGACATATTAATTTACATGGGGTGCATTGTCAAATATGAAATAATGTTTAACCTTCTTCAGATTATATTTTAATGAAGTTATTAATATACATTCCAAAATTGAATGGGATTTCTAAAATTCTGATATGTTTGAATATGTGCTATCAATCATAATTATGGTTATTATATGAAGTTATTGTAGACCACAGAAATAACCAAATTTCCTTGCCAACTGTGTCTTTAACTGTGACTACTTAAAGTCATTTCCACAGTTAATTGCTTCTCTCTGTTGCAGTTTCTGAAAACTTTGCAAGCACACAAAATCCTAGAATATGGGGTATTTGAGGAAGTCCATTTATGAACGGATGAAAAAGACCCTGAGAAACGCTCTAGAATATGGGTTTTTGATCACATTAGAATTATATTATTTGGACTTTAAGAATTCCTGAAACTTGAATAAAGAGATTAACTGGTTTATAAACTGCTATCACAAGCAAGACAAAAATTAATAGAATACCAGGAAAATACTTTGCCAGATTTTCCTGCTAAATCAGCCAGTACTGAAATTGTTTATATATACAATTTCAATGAACAACAAGATCTCAGTAAAATTACCTATGATAACCCATCAATTATAAGTGCTATGCACCTAAATTGGAGAAACAACTGGCATTCAAAAGGACGTAAGTTCAGTGTTAAGCATGAACTCATGAAGAACCAGGATGACCACCTTGCCCTTCCTGAGTCCTTAAACCTTTTGTTATTAAAAGTTCTGCATTCCATGATTCTTCATGGAAAAGAAAAAAATATCCAAATTAAATATATATATTAGTGTGATAACTTCTAAATTACTAAAAGAGTTTACGATTAGTGTTTTCCTGAGTCATTAAAACTTTTGTTATTAAAAGTTCTGCATTCCACGATTCTTCATGGAAAAGATAAAATTATCCAAATTAAATGTATATATTAGTGTGGTAACTTCTAAATTGCTAAAATAGTTTATGGCCAATGTTTGCTTTGTCAAACACTTATTCCTGGGAAGACAATCAAAACTTTAGGTATATTCGGCTACTTGATGGGCCATTTAAACATTTATAGAGGGATTTCATTCAGTTGTCATGTTTAATTCATGTTTTCTGGTTGTATAAAAGCTTTTCCATGCTAGAGGGCTGATGTTACAACAGTAGATCATTATGCCACAGTATATTATCACCAGATAAAGGAGGCTTTCTCTGGTTCACTGACTGAGGACAATTAACCCCTTCACAATCTAGAACCCCAAGCTTGGATCTTCTGAGAACATCAGAGAAACACTGCCCTTGTTAGCCACACTGCAGTAAAACTTCAGGACCTTGAACCTTGGGTTCATAATCTCACAACTCAGAAGGCTCCCTCCATACTTTTTGAACTGTACACCCATTGGAACCATTAAGGTAAAGCTAACCAGGGAAGTTTCTCCCCAGAAGAAGACAGCATCCTTGATGAGGTCAGCTTTTTCTCAAAATCACAGATCAAGACTTCTCTACTATAATGATACTCTTATCTTTAATTTTTTTTTTCATGGCTTATACCTCTATGAAATATAGAAGTGAAAAGGAGGTCTGTTTTTTCCACTCATGGGTTATACGTATATTTGTGAAGGGTTTTTGCAGCCAGCCTTATACAAGGATAACCTCATCCCTTAATCAATGGAATATGAAGGCCCAATGTAGGTGAGAAATTTTAATGGTACATATAATGCCTCATAGTCTGAAACAGAACATCAGTCCACCCTTCTTAACCTATACCAAGGGTTAAAGAGAACATTGTTGAGAGGTCTTCACTCTTCTAAAAGGGCATCATTTGATCCTTTTTTCTATAGTTTGGATTAAATGAGGTAATGATTAGGAATGTATCCCTCATATTAGGCTGTATAGCAGATTATACTCTAAAGTCTATGGTTACACAACAGACTTCAAATTTTCTTGTGAAAGTTATGCTAAATAATAGAATTGCTCTAGATTACTTACTAGCTAAACAGAGATGTATCTGGCAGCTGCTGGCACTTGTTGTCCATGGAGAAACACATTACATTGGGTATTAGAAAGATTTAGTTGTAGGGCACTGATTAAAAGACTGCTTGATTAAAGCAAGTAGGCTCTTTAGCTAATTCATGGATCTATTTGATTTTAGTTGGTTTATTTTATGGGGACCCTGGAGTATGAGCATACTTCAGACTCTTGGTATTATCTTCCTGGTAGTCACAGTAGTAGTCTCCCTTTGCATGTATCCTCTTGAAAGTTTTAAATGTTTGCACTCAGCCGTCTCTAGAATGTCAGATGTTCTCTCTTCAACTGGAATGGCAAGAGCTGAAAGAAATGTGTGACCATGAGGGAACCATAACCTGTGAATGATATGCTGAAACCAGAAACCCAAAATGATGGTAACTGAGAGTGGCACTAAGACCCTAAATTTTGGTCATACTCTCACCTAAGTGAGAACATGACCGAAACAGGGGAAGTTTTAAACAAAATTACAAGGCCATTGTTTTGGAGTGAGCTCATGCACTAGGCCCCAAAAGATCAGACCAAACCAAAATGGAGTCACTCATACTAAATGTGTCATAATCAAACTAAGACTTTAAGGAAACATGTAGTTCCTAGAAAAGATTAGGTTTTGTTTTTCTCCTGTAAACAACACATTCCAGAATAAGAATGTACTCCCACTCCAACCCTTACAAAAAGAAAATCACCTTACAAATGGTTTTTATCCACAAATATGGGTACAAAACAATTCAAAATTACTTTCTAGCATTTTCACTAGAAATTAAAGTCACTACAAGCTGAAAACTACTAGATATGAGAGAAACAATTCTGTGTACAGACTGTATAAACTAAAGCAAGAAACGCATTTGATGAGGAAAGTGATAAAGGCACAAAAGAGTGTGTTAAAAATTTTGTCACAGTATTGTAGAAGACTTCAACATCTATCAGTAATTGACAAATGCAGCAGGAACATACTCAGTAACGATATAGTTAACTTGAACACCAGCCATCAACTTGATTTAAATGGCATTTATTGAATACGTCATTCAATGAGGGCAGGATACACAAATTTTTCAAGCTCATATGAGATATTCACCAAGATAAGCCAAATTCTAAGCCAAGAAACACACCTCAACACGTTAGAAAAATTGAAATCATACAAAGTATTCTGTCAGATCAGAAAGTAAACAGGAAGTAAATAACAGAGTGAAGAAGTTTAAAAATAATACAGATTGGAAATGAAAAAACCGTCTTTACAGGCAAAGGGCATAATTGCCTATGTAGAAAACTATCTTCAGAGAAACTATTGAAAGTAATAAGAAAGTATAGCAAGGTTTTAGATTCAAAGGCCAATATACAAAATTTATTTTTTTATATGCCAGCAATGAACAACTGGAATTAGACATTTAAAAAAATAGCAGAGATTTAAAATAGCCTTGTCAACACAGGTGTTGACTGATCAATTTTATTATTTATTTAAGCAAATGAGCAACAGAGTGCTCATTTTTTATACAATCTGTCAATACCAAGAGCATCTGCTAGATTACCAGAACTACACTGAAAGAACACCCGGTAATCTCTTTTGTTTTTTACCAAAGATTGGGCAAATTTTCCCAGCAATGCCCTTCCCCTTGACACAATACATTATTTGGAACAATTATTTTATTTCAAAAAAGGCCACACTCATTTTTATCTATTATTTCATTAATGCAGTACATTTAGTATCAATGTAGCTCTTGAGTTTGTGTTGCAAAGATAGATCCAGAAGCTATTTATTCTAAGGCCACAGGACAAATTTCTGTCTGGAAGCTTTCATAAGGAATCCTATATGGAACTTTCAAAGCCTCTATTATTAGCTCTTTTATCGGGCTGATAGGAAACCCTTCAGGAAACCTTCTCCACCAGATTTTAAATGCAGTACTTGTAAATGTGGGTGAATTATGCCCTTCATGAGACCTCCATAATTTTCTAAATTTTCTAGTCTGCCTACAATTGACCTCCCTTACCACCTGTAAGAGTAGGATTCTCTACACCCAATGTTAGGCCACTTTTTCTGCAGGACTTTGTAAAGCTTGGCTCCATATAAATTCAAACAGGACACTCCACATATGGTCTTGGTTGCACAATAGGCTTAAGTTACATCCTGGTTAAAGAATTTAAAAAAGTATTGATATTACAGAAATAATTATATTACAATATAAAGTACAGAAAGTAAAAGTAACTGCTTCAGATTTCTGGGGAGATCTCATGTCTTTGGCTTCATGTTCCAATATGGTTTTATGTAGCTGTTAAAGAATAGTTTCTTTTTTAAAGATTTTGATTTTTTTATTAATAATTCATTGCATTAATCTTATTTGTAAAAATATTATTTCTCTTAATTGCTGATGAGTATGTTTATTTTCTTTTTGCCCAGCAACATTACTTAAAGTATTATTTGAGCTCATATACCAAAAATCACATCATGATATGCCATACAATATATTTTAATGGCCTGTTAGTCAATTAGATTATCTCTCAATATTGTTGAAAGTGAACACATTAAGAAAACACATCATTTTCGGAAGGATATGCTAATCAGTTGTTAGTTTAACAGCTCCTCAAAAAAATTAAACATAGAGTTAGTTACATTATGACCTAGCAATTCTACCCCTAGGTATATATCTAAGAAAATGGGAACATTTGTCCATACAAAAATTTGTATACAAATATTTGCAGCAGTATCATATATAATAGCCAAAATTGGAAACTAGCTAAATGCTCATCAAAAGATAAGTGAATAAATAAAACATGGAATATTCTTACAAATACAAAGGAATGAATTATTGATAATTGATACAATATGGATGAACCTTGAAAACATTAGACTAAGTGAAAAACAATGGTCATAAAAGATCATGTATTATATGATTTCACTGATATGAAATGCCAGTAATAAGAACATTTATAGAGGCAGAGAGTATCTCGGTGTTTTCCTGGGGCTGGGTGTATTGGATGAAATAGGGTGTGACTGCTGGCATGGGGTTTATTTTTGGAGTGATAAAAAGTTTTAAAATTGTGCTGATTATTGCCACAACTCTCTAAATTACCAAAATCCATTGAATTGCACACTTTGGTGATTTTTTGTCAGGTGAAACATTTCAATAAAGTGGTCACAAGTATATTTTCATTGTCTATCAAGTACAATCAATCAGATTTTCTTTAAAATTGTTGGAAACAATTATACAGAAATGACATTATTTTCTAAAAACAAGTGTCGATTAGCTATTAGACTCATTGTAGCATCAACAAACATGATGCAGATTATTTATTCCCTGGGGCTAGGTACAATAGTAATATCTGGATGAGTGCAAAGAGTTTCTTTTATGGAGTGAGACAGGAGAACCAGCAGTCTCAAGAAAAAAATATATATATGGCATTGGTTCAGTTGCATGTATGCCCCTTTGGGAAGAAGTTCGGTACATCTGAATACATTTTCTAGTGTAAAATGATTGGTCTAGAGCTGATCTGCCTAAAACAGTAGCTATTAGTTACATGGGACCACAGAAAATTAAATAAAATTTAAAAATTATTTTCTTTACTAAACTAGTTACATTTCAATACCCAATAACCACATGTGACTATTGGATTATACATTTGGCAAAGTGCAGATATAGAAATTTTTATTGCTTCAGAAGTTCTGTTGGACAGTCCTGATGAAGAATTTCAAGTCTAAACTTCCTATCCTGGCCTATCTTTTTCCTGATTAGGGTTCCACACATGTCCCCAGTCCCTGCCTACAGAACAGCCCATCCCAGGTGCCTGGCAATGTGGGCTCACTGGCTTACTCCTGAATTCCTAAAGATGACAAACTTTCTTCCAGCCTCTGTGTTTTTGGAAATATTTTCCCATCTTCAGTTAAGGAAACCACGTTATTTTTCATCGTCTTATTTATGCCTTGCTTCCACTGTGAGGCCATCTCTGACTTTTAGAAACAGAATATCTCATTTCTATATACATAGTCACATAATACTTTACACATATAGATCAGAGAACATTTTTACATTGCTTAATATTGTCTGTGAAAATTTTTTCTTCTAGTGTATTTCTAGGGTTTCTGAGATGTGTCTTTATATTTTATCCCCATTGTCTAGATGTCTTGATTTCCAATATTTATGACACACTCATATCTATTTATGTCTATCAACCTAACTTATAAAATACGCATTGAAATGTGATATATTTGTATAGTGATATTAATTTTATTTTATACACTCCAGCTTTGTTAGTGGTTTATTTTACAATTCAATTATCAATTGTTGTTTTCATTATTTGCCATAATTATTTAATTGTATATGATAATTTATTGTAAGTAGGCTTGTAGTTTATTTCCAAGTATGTTTACCCTTTATCAGAGAATTTTACCTGTTTCAATGTAGGTTTCATGGTAGTATTACCCATTTCTGTCTTTATTGTTTATTGGGATTTATAAATTATAGACAACTCTAAATTTATAAATGGGCATTATTCCAAAAGTTCATTAAATTTGCTGTTTTAAAATTGTAACTTTTCTTTCCATAAAATTAGAGCTCTGAATGATAAATCTCAAAGAGTCAACGAATGCCTATTAAAACTCACGTCTTTGAAATATGCTTATAATGATACTATTTAAATTTTATTTAAAATAATGTTCTGACATTTGAAGGAAAGGCATTGCCTTATGAGTTTTGAATGAATTGTATCAGAAACACATCTCCATTGCCCTTCCACGAATTGTGGAAGGAGTAGAGAAATATCCAGGGAGCGAGAAAGGGATAGTCTGTTTCTTGCTAAAATATGATTCATCAGTGGCAGAAGCATTGGCATTGTGTGGAAACACTTCAGAAATGCAGATTGTGAGAATCTGCTTCTTAACAAGACCCCGAGATAACTCATTCACATTAATGTCTGAAAAGCACTGGGGGTCAAAAGTAGAATTTTTTCTTTTTGTAACTGTGAAAAAAAGTGCATGCCACCTCTGTCAAATATCTATGTAAGAGAAATAACTACTCAAGACCATTAATTTCTGAAAATTACTAATTCATGAGCAAAAGAATATTTCTCCTCCAGGGAATTAGGAAAGAATCAGGACCCAGGATCCCTTACTTTCTATTGGTAAGTGAGTTTCTTATAATGCTAAAAATATATTTTAAAAATCTAAAATAAAACTCTCATACACACATAAAATGAACACGTCAGAGATATTATTTAACTCATTAGTTTATGAGAGAACCAGTGAGATGTTACAACTATTTCAAATAATTCAAACACGCTCACCCACACATACAGGCAATCATGAACACTGAAGTGAATTTACAAACGAACAAGAAACTGTTGTCCGTATCGACAAGACAATTGCCAACTGGATCACCAGCTGACATAATTATTTGCATTTCTGTGGAAAGAATAATTTGCATTAGCTATATTGTAAGGCTTCTGTTGAAACAAGTAACCTGAAAATGTAAGGAAGGAAGCCAGAACACTCATTTATCACTATGCCTATTTCAAAGTATTTCACAATTTTTCCTGATGGTTAGGGTTACAGGGAAAATGTCTATCATAAAATTAAAAACTTGTAAACTTAAACATGAGGCCAAATTATTCAATTTAGTTAAAAAAAGGAATGATAACACATACTACTTGTTCTTGTCTTTTGTTTACTTGCCAACAAGATATTTTAGCTGTTCATGGTTTATTAGAATAATTTAAAATATTTAACAATGGTTGTTTATAATAATTCTATTGTGTTTTTAATATTGGGGTAAACAATTATATACTTTCCATAAAGTTAACTAATGAAAAATCTGGGTTTTTCTCTTTCCCTACACAAATACACTCACATAGCATTATGATTAATTAATATGGAATAAATTTTAGGGTTCATTTCATATAAGTTCAGTTGCCATATTTTGAAGATAAATATACCCAAATAGCCACATAAGTTTTAAAAACCTCCCAACTCCCAACTTCATTAAAAAATGATGCAAATCTGAATTTAGAAAGTATATTAGCTTGTCACTGGCACTTAATAAGATATTTAAAACTGTGGATTCCAGAAAGAATTTGGGCATATTTATTTCATGTAATTAAGGAGAGTACATTGATTGAAAAGCCCTCTGAATACCTCTCTTTACTGTATTCTGACTGTAACATTTCAAGAACTTTCCTCAAATGTCTAACAGGACAAAATAGATAAATGCAATCTGGTACTTTGATATTTATGCAGGCTTCAGCTCTATTACTTCCTTGGTAACTAATTACAATTAAAACTAGTTGGCTTAATACATCGAGTTCTTGGAAAATGCCTTGTCTAAGCTTTAGTAATTCTGTTAGTATTTTTTGAATTGTGTTTTGAATTTTCTAGCGGTAAATTTACCTTTGTAACAATATGTGCTGAATGAGTCTTACCATGCAGAAGTCCCCAAAGACTCTGAAAATAAATAAATTATTACTCTAAGCAGAACTGAAAAGGAAGATACACAAATAGCCTTAAAATCAAGGATTATGTCAGAGACAGAGGACCCTTTAGTCTAAAGTTAATTTAGAACTCTAACAACTGCCCCGTGTATCACAAGGTCCATCCTCTAGCCGATGGGGCTGCAACCTCTTCTTGGTCCTGTGTGAGCTCAGAGACACGCACTGTCTATTGTCTTCTGTTTCTCTCAGTCCCACTGAGGTTTTCTCCATACAAGTACAAACAATCTTTCAGCTGAAATTTTGAGGAGACACCTTTGCAGATGTATAGGATTCCCCACTTTTTGCAGCTTCCTCTTTGGTATTCTGCTCTACAAATTCTAACCACCTCAATCTCTTCAAACATTGACTCTGTTTCCTTCCATCAGAGATATCACTGGCCTCTTTTTGGGTTTCAACTCCCTACTTTGCAATTTGGAAACTGCCTCTTGCAGTAATGGGGCAGGGGGACAGTTGCAAGGCTCACGTAATGTTTCCATATTATCACAGACCATAGTCCTGTAATGCCCATCTTTCAATGGCTAAATATAGGTATTTTGTATATTTGGAGGATTTTCTAATTATTTTACAAGAGGAATTTCTGATAGTTCATCTTTAATGAATAAAAGCAAACACAACAATACTTTTTATTTTTATAATACATATTTGTGTGTAAAGCTCCTTCATAACATGAAGATATTTTTATTTTGTTTTGTAATATAATACAAAATAGTGTGTATTATTTACATTATATGTTTCAGCATCCCACTAAGCACACTGTTTTAACCCTTATAAGAAAATATGCTAGTTATGAGAGCAAAGCTGGGGGAGATAATTCAGAATATAGAAACTTTGGGAAAAATGGTAACGGAGGAAAGTGACAAATGTTAAATTAATGTAGACTGTATAATATGTTTATTGTTTCTCAGGCATCTCTAGTATTAAGACACACATAATAACAGTACAGAAACACAACTATTAGCGATAATTTTGCAAACTATCGTAAACCAGAACTATTGTAGGGGGAATGAATGTGAGATGGGGCTTTTTTCACATTCATAAAAAAAATAAGCTAAATTAAAAAGTGTAGTGTCAAAGACTATAGATAGGTATGTTCTTATTTTAAAAAGTTCTCTTTATTTTTCAGATCTTAAAAGTTCTATTTTGTTAAAAGACAAAATTGAAGAGTGAAAAAGTGGAAGTAGAAATCCTGATAGCTTTCTAGCAGCTCGCTGATGAGAGAAGCAAAAGGGAATTTGATATTATCTCTTGTAAATTCTGAAAGGGTAATTTACACTCACATATTTTTTAATATTTGTTTTACAGTAGAAAAAGAACAGATGTTTTCTAAAAAAATAAAAATTAACAAATATATATGCTGTCTTAAGCTAAATTTTATCTGCTACTATAAAATAGAATCATACATTTCTATATAGGAAATATATTTTTATATTATTTATATCTTACATATTTTTCTTACTTTTGTTTTATTTTAATGTTATTGTTCATTTAATTTTAGAATAAATATGTGCTACATCATTCTAAATTTGTTATAAAAGTTATTTGTGTAGCACATAATATGCATTATTATAAAAAAAGGAAGAATAGGTTACAAGTACATTATAATAAGTATTCGGAAAAAGATAAAATATCATTACATGCAAAAATATGAGTGTCTTATTTAGCAACATATAAATACACTGCATTAATCTAAGTTGTTCCCATAACTTCCACCAGAAGCATCCTGAGGGCAGGAAAAACAGACTGATGGGTGCAGTCCCCTGAGTTTCTTATTCAGTAGTTTCCAAGAGAGGTTAATGTTGCTAGTCTTAGGACTATACCTTAAGAAAGGATTCAATAGAAACATGCTTCTTTTGAGCCATTTAGAAATATGTCAATATATGTGTGTTATATCTATATAAATATGTTTTTGTTAATAGGCTTTCTGTCATTTAAAGTACTTAAATGAATAATAAATTGCTTGATTAAAATAATGACAGAAAATATGTGACCATAGTTTTGCAAAAGGAGCAAAAATAACATAAAGCTCCAAAATTGTCTGTAGTACTAAAAACTTATCATTCTATTAAAATAATTTCTAAATAAAAAATCCATAGTCCGAGAGGCATAGCAGTAATGTCCAAAGACAATTCAAAATAATTTTTATCTACTGCATGCTTTATACAACTTTTCTGAAGGAAACAGTTCTTCCTCTTTAGGAAGCTCCTGTAGATACATTTTGTTTATCATACTTCTACTTCTCCTGCTTACTACCATTCATACTTATACTTTTTCAAATTTTCTATCAATTTTGAGGAAAATGTAATCCTGTATATCCTGAACTTTAACTTTTTTTACAAGATTATGTGCTAGATTAATTGGCATAGAACCATATATCTTTCATCTTGTGCAAGTATACTTGATTTAGATATCATAAAAGGATAATTGAAAAAGAAATTGATTTTCCTTTTGGGAGTATTTTTCCATAACCAAAACTTAATAAAAGCTACAGTTTAACTGTAATTACATGAAAATTATTTAAAATGAAGTCTATAAAGTGATGCCAAAATTCTTGCTATAGAAGTGACTTTCTCATTTAAATCCCTGCCATTAGCTTTCATTTCCTATGAGATCAAATTCAAACTTTACATCCTCATCATATTAAATTCCCTTTTTCTGAAGCTGTTCTACTGCACTTCAACTGCTAGGTAACATTCTACAGATGCTGATTTATAAATGGAAATAAATGATCACTCATCTCTTCAGATTTACAGGTGTACCTCTGCTTTCTTCTCACACATAGAATGTTATCCTTTCCTCCTCTTCACTTACACATTGTGTACTGGTTAATGAAGAATTATTTCTAGTTCTAAATGTTTCAAGAAACAAGTCTCAGTAATTGCTAACAACAAATTTCTTCTCACATTCCTGACTCTTCCTACAGATTATTTTCTTTTATATATATATTTAGAAATTGATTGTATTGGCTTCTATAGGTTTTTAAAAATCTTTCATTGCTTTTTATGTAGTATACATACTGTCCTCCATAAGAGTGTTAATTTCCCATAGGCAATTTTTTGTATGTTCTATAGTTCCTAGAAATTGGCAAAATTAAGTCACTCAAAAGACTAATATTAAATTAATTTATGAATTAGTTTCTCAAGCAAAATGACAGATGAACTAGAATGAACTAGAATCATTTGGCTAGGAAGAGTTAAAATACAACTCTTTAAAATGAAAATATTATGTGTTGAAATGGAATAAAAAATTAGACAATGACATTAAAGATGGGTGCTAGGACAGAGAATGATTGAATCTCTAGAAGTTAGAGTTTTTAAAGAGTTTGTAGAAGCCCTGTTTTATGTTTTTAAAAGGAGGGGATATTTCACTTTCTGTAACGATTTCCATGTGGCTCTCTCTTAGAGGAGAGGTATTTATTAGTAGTCCCTCAGATGTGTCCTGTTCCTATAATTACATGCTTTAAAAGAATAGCAGAATTGCTACTGTCCTTGTAGAAAATGAAAAAGAGCTGAATTTAAGATGGTCAAGGTAACTTTCTGTGTATTAAAGTTTACCTCTAAAATCACTGTACACTGTGTTTTTAGCACAGAGTGCATCATTTGTGCAATAACACAAAGGCTGACACAAACAAGAAGTGTTCTTCTAACATATTCTATGTTTGAGAAGAAAGCAAGGTACCCTTGTAATTATACTTATTGTGTAATATATAATAATTTTAAATATTTAGTTTTAAAAAGTAATTATTGCTAGTGACACGTGAATGTTCACGAATAAAGAAATTTTGAATACAATAAAGGGATCACTATGACTGGAATCATCTTGCAGAGTTTTCAGAGTTTTTATGACCTTAATAGTTTCTTCCTTGAAACTATTACAATGCATTCAAAATGGAATGTTAAGGCACATGAGAGTTAGTCAAAATTTCCATTTTTTTCTCTACCAAAATTGTTGATGCTACATTTTAGAGAAAAATACACCACATATGAAATTACTGAAGCATCACATTGTGCCCCATAAATATGTAAAATTTTATGTGTCAATAAAAATAAAATAAAACTTAAAGGGCTAAATGCTTATTAATATGAAAACAAAGCAAAAAAACTGTATATTAAAAATGAAAATGAAAACAAATAACAACTAGCTTTTTATCATAATACATCTCAACCAAAGGCAATGTATATTTATATTTGTATACATATGTATATAAATATATAATAAAATATGAGAAACATGCTGGTTAATTTATTATTTGTAGTTATTTGACTGGAATCTCAAGAAGAAAGTGGACTTCATTGAAAGAAGCCAAGATTATGATTCTCACAAATATTCTTAAAATGATTGTCTCGTAGTGATCTCTAATATTTCATAGAAAGCCTAATGGAGTTTTTCTGCTTGCCTGTGTTAAGCCACAAACATTTAATTAAGGATTATCTGTTGCAACTAGTAAGTTCAATCCAGTTTCAGCAATAAAGTTTACTATTATGTGTTTTAATATATATTAAATAAGTATTTTGAAGTGTGGTGTTCCTGGTGGGAAGGATGAGCCCTATCAGAGCGTTCAGACTATAAGAAATGCAATGCTTTGGCTCTAATGGAGCTAACTTATTAGGAAAATGCTCTCAGTACTCTACTCCAAGAAGTGCTGAGGCAAGGAGCACAAAGGGGACAGGCTAACTTACCACCTGTGACAAAGTGTGACGTGAGAGTCAACAGTGTCAAGGGAAAGGATATAGAGAAACTGTACCTAATATTGAGAGTATATAGTGTGGTGGTAGAAGACTATTTAATAAAAATATGTACATGCTTTTATTGAAGATAATAAATGCCTGTGTATGGCCTGCCAGACTTTTTCTAGAGAATTTTCACTATCGTATCTGTTATATTGTTCTATTACATTGCCCAAAATGCTAATTGTGTAAGATCCAGTCCAGATCTAGCCACACAACTGGAAGAATTTTAAAAAACCATGTTTGCCTTTATCTCTGTATTGGCCATATGAAACAGCTACATTAATACTAATCAGTTTTAAAGGACAACTAAAACATTGGAAATCAAATAATAATGGTATAAGATATGAATTATAATCCTTAAAGCTAATGTAAAGCTAATAGAATCCCTAAAACTAATATTAATAATGTCATATTTAACAATTATATGATTCCATCATAAATATGGTTGTTTTTAGTTCGTTTCCATATTAACTGCCATAGACCAAGAAAGCAAAATACATTAGTCATGAAAATTTTATAAATAATTTTAAAAATGGAAATGCTATCTTGACTTTATAAATCACATGTAGATTATTTAATAGTATTGCTATACAACAGATTCAGTTGAATCATTATGCCATTTATGCAAATATGAAGTTGCTTCAAATGGATATAAAATGTTTTTAAGTTCAGTTTTTTCCCTACACTATGTATCTGAGGGTATAATGCTGTAAAATAACAATTGACAAATTAGTTATACAAATACATAATCTACTTTATTTAAAGAGATAATTTTTGTTTATTTTAGAAAATGATGCTATAAAAATACCTACAACTTACAAATAAACTTGAAAAATTTTAGACATCTTTAATCATAATTTGAGTCTTCATTTTTCACATTCTTTACATTTTTCTTGCTTTAATTTTAAGCCACAGTGAGAATTTAGTCAAGTTTATCTCAGATTTTGCACCCAATGCTACTTGAAGAGGCTATCATTGTAAAGTCTGATGTTTTTTAGCTTATAATTAGAAACACATCTGTATATTACAGGAGTATTCTATCCTGTGTAGGGTCTGCATGTTATTTGGCACCATTGAGGTAGCATGATATACTGCATTGAATTAGACAAAGTAAAAGTACTTTACAAGATAATTGCTTTTAGATCTGACAGCTCTTGGCATACTTGGTTGTTTGTAATCCAATTTACTAGAGCTTTGCTAGTATAAAATCCATCTCCTTTCAATTGTCTGCACACTGTAAGTTTATAAGCATTAGTGGTTGGGAATAATATATTTTGTTTGTTTAAAGGATACGACTACTAACAATAGGAGGCAAGGTACCTAAAAAAAGCATTGATCAATATTGTCAGCCCTCCAAATCCATAGTTCCTGCGTCTGTGGATTCAGTCAACTGTGGATAGAAATTATTTGAAAGTAAAATTTAAAAAAATTAATAAAAAATACAGCAATAACAAAAATACAAACAAAACATACAATATAATGAACTATATAGCATTTACATTTTATTGGGTATTATAAGTCATCTACAGATGATTTAATGTATACAGACAGATGTGTGTAGGTTATATGCAAATACTACACCATTTCATACAAGGGATTTGAGCATCTTTGCATTTTGGTATCTGGGGGAGTTCCTGGTACCAATTCCTTCTAGATACTGAAAGATTGTAATTGAGAACAATGTCAAGAAATAGGTGACAAATTTAAAAGGAAGAAGTCAGTGAAAGAAAAGTTTTAATCATTGAGTATAAGGGTGTCTGTTAGGGATTCATAGTAAGAATGAATGTATTTGTAAAGAAAATGAGGGATGAGAACGTAATTGGTGTTAAATGATACTAGAAGGGAGGCAAAACTAGAAGAATCCCTGAGCAAACAAAGCCAATTAGGTCTCATAAGTGACCTCAGTGTTGCTTGATTTGCAAACATAAGCAAAATGTAACTTGAGCTATTTCTTGTAAATTCTGATATTAAAGAAAAAAGCAGAATGTAAGATCAACCAACCAGAAACGGTCAACTAAGTTATAAATATATAACTAGAGAATTTCCAGTGGAATGGACTAAGTAGGGCAACTTTCTAATTGCAAATCAATCAAATATTTTCTTTACTTTACTTCCATGTTCATTCTATAAAAACCTCCTGGTGGAGCTTCTGAACCACTTCTTGTTTGCAGCTGTCTGATTCATGAATCCCCTTTTCCCAAATAAACTCTTATAATTGTACTGTGTCTCAGTTTACCTTTTAAACAATAGTAAATTTGCTCATATGCCTTTGGAGGATAAAATTTTCTACTTAGTATCTTCTTCAGATGATGAAGGAGCCATAGACTGAAGTTCTCAGTTAGTCCAGACCATTTCCCTGAATAAATGCCCCTCAACAGTGAATACTGAAGAGCCAGTTTAGCATTGTAAAACATGACTTTTTCTTTGGTCACATCTGCCTGGATCAATGTGGACAAATCAAGAACAGTTCAATCTTAGGCGGGTAAAGAAGGACAATCTGATTCTCACTTACAAAATTATATCCTGATACTCTATAGGTGGGAACCCATGGATGAAACTTGATACAACGTGTAGGGGCTGGAGTAATTATATTTGGCCATGTGCATGGTGATGTGTAGGAAGGGGAAAAATCTTTATATAGAATTAAGGGATTCATGATATATAGAGAAGAGCTGTGGCCCAAAAGAGATATGAAAAGAGTAGCCATTTAATTGTTTATGTACCATGTATCCTTTATAGACATGCCATATAGTCCTACACCATTAATAGGGAGAAGTCTTGAAAAGTTTTAGTTTTATCCTGAATTTATAGATTTTCCATTGGTATAGCATATTTTCTATTCATTTCCTGGAGATTGTTAGTCTTAAGTAATGTGTGTGCATTTTTAGGGAGATATATATATATATATTTTTAATTAAATATGATATATTTTATATTTCACTACACTATTAACACATATGTATGCATCTATTTACCTAATTATGATGTTATAATTATATTTAATGTGTACATTTTGCTCAATCTTTAAGCACTATTTCTCCTACTGTATATGATCTCTTTTAAAATCTCAGTTCAATGCCTTAAGCCTTTGCAATGCTTCCCTCAGTCTGTTACATGTATACCTGTGGTGTTCATGCATAGAATAAGGGATCCTTTTATCCATGTATTTACTTCACCAAGATTTCCTAGACTTTTTTCTCTATTTCCCCCATCCAAAAGGGCATCAGAGTTTGTATCATAGTTTTAACTTTTCATACTGCTTCATGACTTAGACTTTCTCTCTGAAAAAATCTATCAAAAAGAAATTACAGGAAACTAATTGGCAATCACTTATCCAATTTTTGACTCCCCTCAACAATCTGCCTCTTTGTGTTTACACTACAAAATTTCCAGAAAGTTGCCTTTTTAAAAAATAAAATTTCCAATTTTATCTAGAATTTTAGCTGTTATCAGAATAGCCTGTACTTAAGAGAGTAATACAGCCATACCAGAAACAGAAATGTGGCATTCTTCTTTAAAGCCATGCTAGTATGTTTACTTTTATGATGTATTTCTAGAATTTAAATAGCTAGTCATTAAGCATGTACCTTTAAAATTCTTGCCCTGAAAGAATATTGCTCAGTCTTATACTTCCTTCAACATTTTACAGAATTTATTATTTCCTCCATTTTCATTAATACTGGATATTAACAAACTTTATCATTTTTGCCACCAGAAAGGAAGAAATAAGTAACCTATCATTGCTTTACATTCTATTTCCTGATTACATATGATGCTGTTGATCCCCATTTGTATTACTTTTCAGCAAACTTTCTGATCATATAGTCATCTGATTTTGTCCTTTATACATTTTCTAAATCTCAGACACAGAGTGTTGGTTAGAAATATTTTCAATCCATTGGAAATTATCAGCAATATTGTGTGTTATTTCCCTCTTGTTTTATTTTTTGCTATTTCTATGACTTTTTGTTTTTGTCTTTATATCTCTGCTATCATTCCATGCTTGATTCATCAGAGACTCTGCCTTGATATTTAGTATGTGTAGTTAAGTATGGGTATTTTATTA
This sequence comes from Homo sapiens, assembly GCF_000001405.40. Classification (NCBI taxonomy): domain Eukaryota; kingdom Metazoa; phylum Chordata; class Mammalia; order Primates; family Hominidae; genus Homo; species Homo sapiens. Next base: position 118,942,005 of record NC_000007.14, read on the forward strand.
GGACATATGCAATGCAGTTTTGATTAAGTATATATTTTCATTTGCCTAAGTACATAAATGGTATTGTGCTATAACTTTTATTGTGTTTGCTAATTCTTTGAGGCAACATACATTTAGAATAGTTCTATGTGGCATCTGACTGCTGCATTGTATTTTTCTGATAAGTTCCACCACATTTTACTGATGATATATACTAATGAGGGACACCTAAGTTATTCGACTCCCTGTTAATTGTGTGTAATTACAGATGCATCTTATTTATCTAATACTGACAAGTTGTTTTCTAGAATAATTGCTTAAATTCATTCTCTGGTATAATAAAGTAACTTTGCTAATTAATTTACCTGTTTTTTTTCCTTTGCCTATTTCAATGTAAGCATCTAAGTACAAAAATCATTCTTAGTTTGTTCATCTTTGTTTCCATAGCATAACTCCATAGTGTCAAATAGAGAAGACAGTCAATAAGTACTTGTGGAAAGAATAAACACAATTCCTGGTTACAATTCCATGTGATATTTACTATTGTTCATTAAAAATTCTTTAGAACATCTCCTCTAAATGCATAAACTAAATGTTGAAAATATTCTAAAAATTTCTAGGTTGACCAATGGTCTGAGAATAAATTTACTTCCATTTAGGGACCACAACATGCTTCATTTAAAGAAATCTGATTTACAAAAAAAAAATTAATAGAATACAAGTACTAGATATTTTTCTGAAAGTATTCACTGTGCAGTTCTTTAATATGTTCTCCTAATTGGCCTAAGAGAGTGTTGAAAACAGATAATTACATTTTTAGTAAAATGTTTGAGCACTGAAGAAACTTCATAAGAAATTGTTAGCAGATGTTGCTGTACAATATTAGTGATAAGTATAGATAAAATGTCTGTGGATATATAAGTTAACAGATCAAATAATTTTATTCATAGAATTCTTTTAGTGTACTCAAATTAGAAACATGTCTAAGAAGGAGTGCAATAAGTCTTTTCATTTTACAATATTGCAAAGATGAGCTCATTCTCTATCTGGAGCATCTTTGGGTTATCTTGAAGAGATACTGTCAGTAGTCCAGACTGCTGACATTGATGTGATTGATCTGAATGAGCACAGCTGTCAGGAGGTAAATTTTATTGTTACAACAAGGAGAGTATCCTTTGGAAGTTGTTCCAAGAAGCATACTTTTCATTTTTCAATAAAAATGTAATAACTGTTCAAAAATTTATGTTTTACAGAGAAGTTAACTTTCTGTTATGTTACAGGTTGTCATAATCTAAGAAAGACTCTGAATAAAACCAGTGTGGCATAGGAAGCAAGGATATAAAGAGTCACTTAGCCACTTAGCACATTTTGTGTTTTGTGAAATGGTTCATTGTGGAAATGTAATAACGCCTCAAGAACAAGATTATGATTTCAGCAGCATTTATTAAGAAGATATCCATTAATGACAAATCTGATTTACAAAAAAAGATTTTATTTTGATTTAATTTTGATTTTAAACTCTTCATTTACAATAAAATTTTTTGTAAAACATTTGTCAGTGGATAACAAATGTAGTTTGCATTGTATGGCATGAAAATTTTTGTTTTAGAGCATATGAATTAATAGATAAATTATTTCTAAGTTTCTGTAGTCATCCACTTATTCTTCCAATACATAAAATAAAAGCATTACTTTTACAAACTGCAACTTATGTTTAAGCTACTGGTTACAGAATATTATTATAAACTGCCTTCTCCAATTGTAAATCATGTCAGCATAGAAAAAAGTACTGTGTACAAAAAATTATGGATATAGCATATTATAATTAATAGAACAAGCAATACAAATGGAAGAGTTCAGTTATTATAGTCAGGAGTAGAGATGAGTGGTAGTAGAGAAAGCTTCACATAAAACATTTATTTTAGAATCCTCAAATAATACCTATAAATCTTATCTAGATTTTTTCCTTTATAATCTCTTTAATAACAAATCTAGACATTACTTGTCCAAATACATCTGTCAAATGATAGTGAAGAAAGTTGGCTCTCATCAATGACAACCTGGCTTTAGTGTCTAAGAATTACATTCACTAAGAGAGTCCTGAAAATATGATACGTATTGAGCTTCAAACTGCTGTATTTTCAGCCTCACAGAATATAGAATTTTTCTGGAGTGCACCAGTGTAAATATATATGGCTAGCTAGCCTTTGTGCTGATATATATGAGTGTATCCATAAGTATTTAGATAGTTATCCTTGGACTGTTTCTGTGGTTAAAATAAATGACTGCATGACTGCATAGTTTTGTAACATCTTCTGTGAAGTAATATTTTTAAAACTAAAAAAATTAAAAAATTTTTAAACAACGTGAACCTATTGACAGACTTTTTTAAAATTAGGCTTTTAAAAGAGGGGCTCATTTTGGGCATTGGTACCTAGATTGAAAATATGTAATTGTCAATGACGTCACCTTGAAGTAACTAATGTTCTTTCGGATTGTCTTAACCAAGTTAATATGAATATTTTGATGTAAATCATTGTCACGGTTCAAACGTATTTACTGCATTAACAAAATAGTCATTTCAACTAATAATAAATATTCAACATATGGTAAGATATTGGTTTAAAGCATGCTATTCATTCAATAAACCTCAGCTGAAATGCAAGATCATTGAATAAGCTGACAGCATTATTAGATATATTCTATCTGCATGAACTATTTGGGTGTTGTGAAAAAAACTCATAATCTCCTTTAATTAAAAATATGGGCCAGGCACAGTGGCTCACACCTGTAATCCCAACACTTTGGGATACTGCGGTGGGCGGATCACGTGAGGTCGGGAGGTCGATGCCAAGCTGACTAACATGGAGAAACCCCATCTCTACTAAAATACAAAATTAGCCAGGCAAGGTGGTGGTGCAAGCCTCTAATCCCACCTACTCAGGAGGCTGAGGAAGGAGAATTGCTTGAACCTGGGAGGTGGAGGTTGCGGTGAGCCGAGATCACGCCACTGCACTCTAGCCTGGGCAACAAGTGCAAAACTCCGTTTCAAAAAAATAAAATAAAATAAAAAAATGCAGGTGAATGTTAAAATTTGTTTCGTTTTGTTTTTTTCGTACTCTCTTACATTCTGGCATTACAAAATGCTCTAGCCTTCTCTTGTGTACTTCATGTCTCAGTCCTAGAATTAGTTGTTTCTTAAGGATCCCTGGTGTCTTTTACTGGAGAATGCTATTAGAAAGAAGGATCTATGTGCTAAGTGTGGTCCTTGCTATTGGGGTGACTTTGCTTCTAAGCCCTCTCAGGAGGTAGAGCAAGGAGATACATGCATGTATAATAACATGAAAATAAATCCGTATCTATAAATATTCATCTATGCATTCATTTGTATCTGTTTTAATCAAAACATGTTTATGCTGATATATCTAACCCTAATCTACATGGAGAATTCCAACCTCCTCTGCTTGCTTATCTGTAACAACTCACACAAATAATGAGAAACTGGGCTCCCACTGACATGGAAGGGAAGTGCTCGGAATGGAAGGGTGTAGTCCCTTTAAGTGATACAGAAGGGTGTAGTCCCTTTAAACGATATGGAAGGGAGAAGGGGAGTGCGGGGTTGAGGAGGGCATGGTCCCTGGCTAAGGCTCCACCCCCAGGCCCTTACCAGGGGACCTAGATGAGGACAGGCATTCTTGTTTTCCTGCCAATATGTTGCATTTCCCAAGACCACCCTGGCCTGCCATGCCCCCGTCCTGTGCCTATAAAACCCCTGAAACCCAGACAGACAGACATTCAGGTGGCTGGACGTCGAGGGGAGCACATCAGCAGGCACCGGCACACCAGCAGGCCACTGACCAGCAAAATGTCTCAGAGTTCGGGTGGGGCAGTCACAGGAGAGCCCGGGCTGCGGAGCTACCCAGCTCCAGGGGAAAACCATCTCCCTTCTGCCTCTCCCACCCACTGAGAGCTATTTCCCCTCAATAAAATATTGTACTCATTCTCCAAGTCCACGTGTGATCCAATTCTTCCAGTGCACCAAGGCAAGAACCCAGGGATACAGAAAGCCCTTTGTCCTTGCGACAAGGCAGGGGTCTAATTGAGCTGGCTAACGCAAGCTGCCTGTTGTCAGCTAAGCTAAAAGAGCACACTGTAACCACCCACTGGGGGCTTCAGCTGTAAACATTCACCCGTAGACACTGCGTTGGGGTCGGAACCCCACAGTCTGTCCATCTGTATCCTCCCCTAGAGGTTTGAGCAGCGGGACACTGAAGAAGCAAGCCACACCTGCATACCACGCCCTGTGAGGGGACAAGGGAACTTTTCCCGTTTCACCACTACCGGTCATCGACTTACTGTTTAATTCCAGTATATATGCATAACAATATCAGAGTTGTTCACTTATACCCCCATGGGAAACAACTTTATCAGGTACATACAGTGCTGACGCACAGCTCCTTTCCCTTTAGTCTTAAAGTCTTTACTTATTTCCAAAGTTACTTAGCTCAGCAGTTTTTTCTCTTATTTCCTTTAGTGAGATTGTCTCATACATTTATAATACAGTTAGGATACTTTCTCACAAACTCTATTCTATCTAGGATTCTGTGGCCTTGTAAATGACGTTTTAAAATTTGTATCCATTAGGCATGAATTTTTTTCAGTTTCATGTATTTACCATTGCAGTATTATTTAGAATAATTTTCTTGCCCTAAAAATTTCCCTGTGTTTCACCTAGTCATCTTTTCTCCCTCTTATGCACCCATGGCAATCATCTGTTTATAATGTTTTTAGTAGTGAATTGTCTAAAATGTCATATAATTGAAATTATACAGCATGTGCACTTTCAGAATGGCTTCTAAGATTCCTCCATGTCTTTGTGTGGCTTGGTAACATTTTTTAATGTTGAATAATTTTTCATAATATGGGTATATCTCAACTGATTTGTCTATTGACCTTTTTAACACCATCTCTGTTTGTTTCAGTTTTTGGCAATTATGAATAAAGCTGCTGTAAATATTCATGGGGAGCTTTTATGTGGATATAAGTTTTTAAATCAGTTGGGTAAATATCTAGGTTTAACTGTGTTAAAAATTATTTTAAAAATATTACCAAAAGGAATGAGAGGTTTTCAGGGGATATATGAAGCAGTATATTGCTAGGTCTTAAGATGTTTTTGAGAAAAAAAAAAAACACTCATATTATGGTTACTGTAGCATATAGAAATATTAGTGGAAGAAATAAATAAACTGGGACCATTTTATGTACTTGGCATGCTTTCAAAATTTAAAATATCATTTTATTTATTTGCTGTACAAAAATTGAACCTATAATGGTTTTTGAAGAATATAATAAATATTAAATAATTGATTAGAGCAAATGGGTATTTTCAGAATGCAGGCACAAGTGACATTTTATTTGAATTAAATAAATGAGTATATAATGTAATGCTAAAGTAAAATAGAAAAAAACATTTAAGATGCTTTGCATTTCAGGGAGGAAAGCTTGATATAGAGAAATTTTTTCGGGGTGTTGAATGCTTCTGCTCTTTATTAAAAGTGTTTATTACATGAAAAACTTCATTCTGATATCTATTGCTACTAATGAGTTTGTTTTAGAGGAGAACTTCATTTATAGAAGAAATGGAAAAATTACACTTATAAGCCAAGGATTGCATATTACTGCAAGAACAAATTATTGAAGCATACTAAAGTAAGTTTTCTTAAAAATGCAACACATTCTAGGCTCAGGAAACTTAAGATAGGCAAGTTATTAATATATTGAGTTTTATGAAAGTAGTGATTAACTTTTGGAGCATACCTATGGGAAATATGTTTGAATAGTTTCATACTGTATCAAAGAGACAGTATGTGTAAAAGCGATTTGACATGAGAAAATTTTTAGTCAGCTTGATTATAAGATTTTTGAAAATGTCTTTATCTTTAAACATCAGAAATTGTTAAAGCATAGCTTGTTGAAGTGTAACTACTATAAACATTAAGATGAAATTGTATACAGAATTTTTTCTGAAATTATAAATTTTAATACATAAAGTAAATTTTCTACATAAATATAATTTTTCCTAATTCAAAATATTTATAGACCTTTTACAATTGTAATTTAATTTAAGTCTATCTAAAGTGAATTATGTACCTCCATGTCTCTTTAAAAGTAGTATATAGAACATATATTGATGGTTTGGTTCTTCTATTAGAGACGTGAATTGCTAATCAGGGCTGTGAAACCAGGATGCCATGTCACCATCAACAATGGTGTCTACTTTATGGTCTTTAAGTGTTTATAATTTATTTCATATTCTTTTTTTCTGATAGCTTTTGCTGTTATCAGACGTTTTGCTGCTTATAATCTGCTGGTTCTTTTGATACCTGATTGGCAAGTGAATGTGCTTCAGCTTCTCACATTGATTTGAAGACCGTGTTCTAGATAATCTCAAAAATCTAGTTAATCTGAATAATCCAGTTAATCTGAAAAAGATATAACTCTGAAACACAAAGTAAGCTGTTGTAGGCACCCACTGAGAGACACATAGGTGGCATCTTACAAATCAGTGTTCAATCTTTCAGTCATAAAGGCTGGTGAAAATCTTGACCAGTATATCAATCATTGGTTAAACAGAAGCCTCAAGTTCAGTTCCCTTTTCTTTTCAAGAGAATTCATACTTCCAAATATTTGGGGAAATTAATATTTCTATACATTTTTTGCAATGTATGCAGTATTTCCATGACTCTACTTATGACCATGAGTTTGAAGGAGTGTTATTATGAAAGGGCAATCACAGTTCTTACAGTTGTCTATCAAGTGGTCATGAAAAATCATATTAAAGTAAATCTCAGGAGGTATATTCTAATTAGAGTTTACAGCAAGCTGCTTTAGGAGACTGCAGCATTTTCAGTGGTATTCAGTGTGTGTTCAGAAAATTTAGGGCAGAGTTAACTCAGAACAATTTTGTGCCAATATAACACTTTTGACACTTTCATTCACTTAAAAAAATTATTCTACAAGCATTTGCAGTACTATGATGTGCTATGTAAATAAAATGTAAATCAGCATTCCTGAAGACCGCTATATATTTCCTTTCAGTTCTTTGTTAGAAATATATAATGTAAAGAAAAAGTAGTAAATCCTTTAAGACTTGCTTTTCCTATTTAATAAAACTTGTGTCCTTTTAATTCTTATTTATGTATTTATTTATGAGTCAGGGCTTACTCATGTTGGAGTGCAGTGCTCAGTCACAGCTCACTGCAGTCTCAAACTCCCAGGCTCAAGTGACCCTCCTACCTCAGCTTTCCTGGTAGCTGAGACAACAGGCATGCACCTCCTGCACAGCTGATTTTTAAATTTTGTGTAGAGATGGGGGTCTCCCTTGTTGCCCAGGCTGGTTTGGAACTCCTGAGATCAAGTGATCCTCCTGCTTTAGCTTCCTGAAATGCTGGGATTATGGGCATGAGCTACTGTGCCTGATCACTTTGCTTCTTATTTTAAACTCTTTACCATTTTCCTGTTGTTAACAACCACACTCACTGAAAAATAAAACATTTAAATGTTAGTAATAATTATTTAAAATTCTCAAAATTTGTTTTTAAAGACAGGAACTTAAGATAGCTATGCAAAATATTCCAGAGTATTCCAGAGATACTCTACAAACTTTGTTAGGTAATTAGTTTGAACACAGATTTAATCATGAAGATGTATTGATGCTGTAAAAGGAAAACAAAGAAAAATTGCAATTTTTGATATTTTCCAGTTTAAAAAATTTCAGGTTATGTAGGTTTTTATACTCATAATTTCCTGAAATATATACAAGGTATGGGGATCATAAATCAAGAGAAAATAATTGGATGAAGATGAGACATAAACATGTGTTTGCACAGTAATTACTGAGCTTTTGCGTTTACTTGCAATTGAGCAGAATAAATTTGTTTTCAAATATAGAGATGACAGATTTTTTCTTATATCATATACTTTTATAACCAGTCCCATGTCCAAAATGAAAAGCACTATAAATTTCATCACTTTTTATTACCAAACTAATTTATTTCTTAGGGTTCAAAACTTTCTTAAGATGACTTCCTGGTCTGTATGTAGATCCAGCTTCTTTTTTTTTTTTTTTTTTTTTTTTTTTTGAGTCAGAGTCTTGCTCTATTGCCCAGGCTGGAGTGCAGTGGCGTCATCTCGGCTCACTGCAAGCTCTGCCTCTTGGGTTCATGCCATTCTCCTGCCTCAGCCTCCCAAGTAGCTGGGACTACAGGTGCCCACCACCTTGCCTGGCTAATTTTTTGTATTTTTAGTAGAGACGGGGTTTCACTGTGTTAGCCAGGATGGTCTTGATCTCCTGAACTCGTGATCCACCCACCTCGGTCTCCCGAGGAGATCCAGCTTCTTAATCCTCAAGCTCAAATTCCAAGTACTGTGGGCCTAAACAGTGAATATGGACATAACCATCTTCACCGCCGCTGCTGTAACTCTTGCCATTTGAAGGGAAGGCAACCCTGTTGACAGTTGTGAAGTAACTCTTGACTCTTCCAAACTATTTTTCAAAGGCCAAATGGAAGAACCTGGGCTCAAACCTGCCAGTCCTGTTGGAGGTTGTGGTTACATCCATGGCTTTCTCTCTGTCACCCAGTATCACATGGTCATTATAACTGGGGAAAGGGCGTCTGAGTTGATGAGATGTTCTGTCCAGAAAGTCTCTTGATGTTCAAGAGTTGTAGAATCAAAGAACTTGGCTGTGTTGTCCTTGGTTGCAGTGACAAACATGATTATGTCCTTGGATAACTTGATGTTACTGATCTTCTGGGAGTGCTATTTAACACTCACCAATACCTCTCCAGATGTGGCATTATACTGGTTGGACACTCCACTCTTATGGTCTGTGATGATGCACTCCCCTGGGGGGTCCTCAAAAAGCACTAGTGATATTATAGTCATTGTAAAGGATTTTCATGTATGTCTCATTGCTGTCAATCTGCCTTAGGTCCTGCAGATAAAAGAAGCTCACAAAGCACTGGTAGCCCATCTACTTGTCTGTAGAGAATATAGTGATATTGTTCCCAAAGTCCTTGCCACAGGTCTGGACAGCTAAATCAGTTTTGAGTAGGGCCAACTGCTTCCCTGTCCCAGAGACGACAGCTGTTGTCAGCTGAGCCAGGGAGGACATGCTTGGTGTCCCAGTCACTGTCCATGCAGCACACAGCTGCTGTATGGTCCACGTGGGTGCCCAGCCTCTCACCGTTCACAGAGTACCACACATTGACGATCATCCCACTGGGGACGATATATATTCTAGTTGTTCGTTTCTTATTTCTGGAAGGACTCCTTGATCCTTTTTATAGATCATAATACAGACAGGGTCCAAAAATATGGCAAATGTCATAAGTAAATGCACAGCACAAGATTCAATTTGGAGTAGTTGACTTTAAGATTTTGCCTAAGGAGAAACTGAGATGTGAACAAGCACACCCTTGACATTTTATAGAGTGTAACACCAAGTAAAGCAGGGATTATTCATAATTGTTAGAAAACTCTATTTCTGAAAGTAATAAGATGCAAAATAGAGTTTGATGTGTAGCTGGAAAGTAAAAAATAATTTCAAACTTAGCATAAAGTTTATTTCTATAATCAGAATTTAGGGTGGAAGTGGAAAAATTCATCAAGATTGATTGGGTAAAAGTAATATTTTCCTTATTTTAATTTAAACAATTTACAATAATTTTGTAGCCAAAATACAAGAATACCTTTAGGATTTAATTAAGTAGAACGTGAATTGATCTATAATGGTATGTTTTGTCTTCTACACATCTTTCAATAAACAATAATGTCTTTACATTACTGAAAGACATTAATGATAAAGAGCCTTTATCACTGAGCCTCCAAAGGCACAAGGCAACATTTGGCTACTTCAGCAGGGGCAGGGTAACTGAGAAAGCCTTACCCCAGGCACCATGAGACACAGGGCCTACCTAAGACTGAGGCACAACAAAGTTGACAGAGAAGTTTCTACCTTCTGCCCTGTACAGCAGAAGATACCCAGTAGTGGGATTGCTGGATCAAATGACAGTTCTACTTTTAGTTCTTTAAGGAATCTCCATACTGTTTTCTATACTGTTTGTACTAGTTTACATTCTCGCCAGCAGTGTAAAAGTGTTTCCTTTTCACCACATCTATGACATCAGCTATTTTTGATTTTTTAAATTATGGCCATTCTTGCCCTACTTGCAGGAGTAAGTAAGGTGGTGTCTCATTGTACTTTTAATTTGCATTTCCCTGACAGTTAGTGATGTTGAGCATTGTTTTCCTATGTTTGTTGGCCATTTGTATATCTTCTTTTGAGAATGTCTGTTCATGTCCTTTGCCCATTTTCTTTTCTGTCTTTTTTTTTTTTTTTGAGATGGAGTCTCACTCTGTCACCAGGCTAGAGTGCAATGGCGCAATCTTGGCTCACTGCAACCTCCCCCTCCTGTGTTCAAGCAATTCTCCTGCCTCAGCCTCCTGAGTAGCTGGGACTACAGGCATGTGCCACCACTACCAGCTAATTTTTGTATTCTTAGTAGAGACAGGGTTTCACCATGTTGGCCAGGATGATCTTGATCTCTTGACCTCGTGATCCACCTGCCTCGGCCTCCCAAAGTGCTGGGATTAAAGGCATGAGACACCACACCTGGCCCTTTGCCCATTTTTGATGGAATTATTTTTTTTCTGGGCAATGTGTTTGAATTCCTTATGGATTGTGGATATTAGTTCTTTGTCAGATGCACTGTTTGCAAGTATTTTCTTCCACACTATAGGTTGTCTCTTTACTCTGCTGATTGTTTCTTTGGCTGTGCAGAAGCTTTTTAGTTAAGTAGGTGCCATCTATTTATCTTTGTTTTTGTTGCATTTGCTTTTGGATTCTTGGTCATGAAGTCGTGAAGACTTGCCAATGTCTGGAAGAGCTTTTCTGTTGTTATCTTTTAGATATTTTTACGACTCCAGGTCTGAGATTTAAGTCTTTGATCCATCTTGGGGTTGGTTTTTGTATAATGTGAGAGATGAGGATCCAGTTTCATTCTTCTACATGTGGCTTGCCAATTATCCCAGCACCATTTGTTGAATAGGGCGTCCTTTCCCACTTTATGTTTTTGTTTGCTTTTTCAAAGATAAGTTGGCTGTAAAAATTTGGCTTTATTTCTGTGTTCTCTATTCTGTTCCATTGGTCTATGTGCCGATTTTTGTACCAATATCATGCTGTTTTGGTAACTGTAGCCTTGTAATATAGTTTGAAGTGGGTAATGTGATGCCAACAGATTTGTTATTTTTGCTTAGTCTTGCTTTGGCTATGCAGACTCTTTTTTTTTTTTTTTTGGTTGCACATGAATTTTAGGATTGTTTTTTCTAGTTCTGTGAAGAATGATGATAGTGTTTTTGTGGGAATTGAATTTAATTTGTAGATTGCTTTTGGCAGTATGGTCATTTTCACAATATTGATTCTATCCATTCATGAGCATGGGATTGTTTCCATTTGTTTCTTTGTGTCATCTATGATTCCTTTCAGCAATCTTTTGCAGTTTTCCTTTTAGAGGTCTTTCACCTCCGTGTTTAGGTATATTCCTAAGTATTTTATTTTATTTTTTGCAGCTGTTGTAAAAGGGCTTGAGTTCTTGAATTGATTCTCAGATTTGTCATTGTTGGTGTATAGCAGTGCTACTAGTTTGTTTACATTGATTCCATATCCTGAAACGTTACTGAATTCATTTTTCAGATCCAGGAGCTTTTTGGATGAGTCTTTAGGGCTTCCTAGGTTTACAATCATATCATCAGTGAACAGCAACAGTTTGACTTCCTCTTTACCATTTGGATGCCCTTTATTTCTGTCTGTTGTCTGATTGCTCTGACTAGCACTTCCAGTACTATGTAGAATAGAAGGGGCGAAAGTACACATCCTTGTCTTGTTCCAGTTCTCAGGGGGAATGCTTTCAACTTTTCCTGGTTAAGTATAATGTTGGCTGTGGGTTTGTAATAGATAATTTTATTACTTTCTATGCCCTTTCTATGCTGATTTTGCTGAGAGTTTTAATCATAAAGGGATGCTGGATTGTCAAATGCTTTTTCTGCATCTATTGAGGTAATCACATGATTTTTGTTTTTACTTCTATAATGTGATGCATCACATTATAGACTTGCATATGTTAAACCATCCCTGCATCACTGATTTAAGCCCAAATTGATTATGGTGTATTATCTTTTTGATAGGCTGTTGAATTCTGTTACCTAGTATTTTGCTGAGGATTTTTCCATTTATGTTCAGGGATATTGGTCTATAGTTTTCTTTTTTTGTTATGTTATTTCCTGGCCTTGGTATTAAGGTGATACTAGCATCATGGAATGATTTATGGAGGATTTCCTCTTTCTCTATCTTCTGAAATAGTTTCAATAAGATTGGTAAAAATTATTCTTTGAATGCCTGATATAATTCAGCTATGAATCCATCTGGTCCTGGACTTCTTTTTTTGGCAATTTTTTATTACAGTTTCAATCTCACTACTTGTTATTAATCTGTTCTGAGTTTTTATTTCTTCGTGATTTAATATAGAAGGGTTGTGTATTTCCAGGAATTTATCCATCTCTTCCAAATTTTCTAGTTTGTGTGTGATTTAATATAGAAGGGTTGTGTATTTCCAGGAATTTATCCATCTCTTCCAAATTTTCTAGTTTGTGTGTGAAAACGTGTTCACAGTAGCCTTGAACTATCTTGTATTTCTGTGGTATCAGTTTTAATATCTCCTGTTTTGTTTCGAATTAAGCTTATTTGCATGTTCTCTTTTCTTGGTTAATCTTGCTAATAGTCTATCAATTTTGCTTCTCTTTTCAAAAATACAGCTTTTTGTTTTATTTACTTTTTGTATATTTTTGTTTAAATTTTATTTAACTCTGATCTGACCTTGGTTATTTATTTTCTTCTGCTGGATTTAGGTTAAGTTTGTTCTTGTTTCTGTAGTTCCATAAGGTGTGATCTTAGAATTTCTATGTGTGCTCTTTCAGACTTTTTAATGTAGGCATTTAATACTATGAGCTTTCCTCTTACACTGCTTTTGCTATGTTTCAGAGGTTTTCATAAGTTGTGTTACTATTATTGTTTAATTCAAAGAATGTTTTAATTTCCATCTTGATTTTATTGTTGACCCAAAAATTATTCAAGAGCAGAACATTTAATTTCCATGTATTTGCATAGTTTTGAGGGTTCCTTTTGGAACTATTTTTTTTTAATTTTATTTCACTGTGGTTTGAGAAGGTACTTGATATAATATTGACTTTCTTAAATTTATTGAGACTTGTTTTGTGGCTTATCATATGGTCTATCTTTTAGAATATTCCATCTGCTGATGAAAATAATGTATATTCTGCAGTTGTTGGGTAGAATGTTCCATAAATATCTGTTAAATTTATTTGTTCTAGGGTATAGTTCAAGTCCATTGTTTCTTTGTTGACTTTCTGTCTTGATGACCTCTCTAGTGTTGTCAGTGGAGTATTGAAATCCCTCATTATTATTTTGTTGCCATCTATCTCTTCTCATGTCTCATAATAATTGTTTTATAAATATGGGAGTTTTCATGTTAGGTTCAAGTATATTTATTATTGAGATATTTTCCTGTTGGTCTTTTTTTTTTATTATTATGTAATGTCACTCTTTGTCTTTCTTAACGGTGTTTGCTTTAAAGTCTATTTTGCTAATATAAGAATACCTAGCTACTCCTGCCAGGTGGGGTGGCTCATACCTCTAATCCCAGCACTTTGGGAGGCCGAGGCAGGCACAGTAAGAGATCAGGAAATCGAGACCATCCTGGCCAATATGGTGAAACCCAGTCTCTACTAAAAATACAAAAATTAGCCAGGTGTGGTGACATGTGCCTATAACCCCAGCTGCTTGGGCAGCTGAGGCAGAAGAATCTCTTAAACCCGGGAGGTGGAGGTTGCAGTGAGTGGAGATTGCACCACTGCACTCCAGTCTGGGAGACAGAGTGCAACTCTGTCTCAAAAAAAAAAAAAAAAAAAAAAAAAAAAAAGAATAGCTAGCTACTCCTGCTTGCTTTTGGTGTCTATTTGCATGGAATATCTTTTTGTATCCTTTTACCTTATGTATTAAGTGAGTCTCTTGAAGACAACAGATTCTTGGTTGGTGGATTTTTTTCATTCTACCATTCTGTATTTTTTAAGTGGAACATTTCAATGTTAGTATTGAGATGTGAGGTACTATTTTATTCATCATGCCAATTTTTGCCTGAGTACTCTGTGTGTGTGTGTGTGTGTGTGTGTGTGTGTGTGTGTGTGTGTGTTATTGTTTTATATACTCTGTGAGATTTATGCTTTAAGGACGTTCTATTTTGGAGTATTTTGAGGTTTTGTTTCAAGATTTTTTTGTTTTTTCCTTTTAAGGATCAAAAAGTTTAATAGCCAAGAAAGAAGGAAGGGAGGAAGGAAGGAGAAAACAGCTCCCTCTAGCCAAGAAAGAAGGAAGGGAGGAAGGAAGGAGAAAACAGCTCCCTCTGACAGAGACAGAGGGAGGGGGGATTCAAACAAAGAGAAAACCCCCAGTTTCAAGATTTAGAACTCCTTTTAGCATTTCTTGTAGTGCTGGCTTGGTAGTGGTGAATGCTCTCAGTATTTGTTTGTCTGAGTAAGACTATCTCTCCTTCATTTACGAAGTTAAGTTTGTCTGGATACAAAATTTTTGGCTGGCAATTATGTTGCTTGAGGATGCTAAAGATAGGACCCCTGGCTTGTAGGGTTTCTGCTGAGAAATCTGCTGTTAATATGATAGGTTTTTCCTTATAGGTTACCTAATGCTTTTGCCTCACAGCTCTTAAGATTCTTCCCTTTGTCTTGACTTTAGATAATCAGATGACTGTGTGCCTGGGTGATGATCTTTTTTTGATGAATTTCCCAGGTATTCTTTGAGCTTCTTTGATTTGGGTTTCTAGATCTCAAGTGAGGGCCCGGAAGTTTTCCTTGAGTATACCCTCAAATATGTTTTCCAAACTTTTAGATTTCTCTTCTTCCTCAGGAATACTAATTTTTCTTAGGTTTGTCCATTTAATCTAACCTCAAATTTCCTGGAGGCTTTGTTCATTTTTTAAATTCTTTTCTCTTTATCTTTCTATTATTTGGTTAATTTAAAAGCCTTTTCTTCCAGCTCTGAAGTTCTCTCTTCTATTTGTTCAATTATATTGTTGACAATTTCCAATGCATTTTTTTTTTGTATTTCTGTAAGTGTGTCTTTCATTCCAGGCATTGTGATTTTTTTTTCTTTATGGTATCTATTTTTCTGGAGCATTTTCATCCATATTCTGTATTTTTCAAAATTTATTTAAGTTGGTTTTCATTTTTCTCTTGTATCTCCTTGAGTTGTTTAATAATCAACTTTATGAATTTTTTTACCTGGCAATTCAGTGATTTCTTCCTGGTTTGGATCCAGTTCTAGGGATCTAGTTTGGTCTTTTGTGGGGGTGTTATAGAACCTTGTTTTGTCATAATACCAGAATTACTCTTCTGATTCCTTCTCATTTGGGTAGACTATTTTAGTGGAAAAATCTGGAACTCAAGGGTTGCTGTTCAAATTCTTTTGTCCCACGGGATGGTCCCTTAATGTGGTGCACTCCCACTCCCCCTAGGGATAGGGCTTCCTGCAAGCCAGACTGCAGTAATTGTTGCCCTTCTAGGTCTAGCCACGCAGCAGGGCTACTATGCTCTGGCCTGCTGCTGGGAATGTCTTCAAAGAGTCCTGTGATGCAATCTATCTTCAGATCTCCCAGATGTGAATACCAGCATTTGCTCCAGGGAGGTGGCAGGGATGTGAAGTAGACTCTGTGAGAGTCCTTGGTTGTAGATATGTTTAGTGTGCTAACTTTCTTGAATGCTGGTTATGCTAGCTGTGAAGTTGTCACATGGACAGACTTAGGACCACTGGTTAGCCATGATGTTGTGGGCAGTGGAATAAGCTGTTATTTTCCTCTTTCTTGGAGCAGACTTATTCTGTCATGAGTTGCTATAATGTTTTAAGTTGGTTGGCTTCCAGCCAGGAGGTGGCAATTTCAAGAGAGCATCAGCTGCAATAATAGAAGGGGGACATAAGCTTGCCTTAAGACGGCCAGGATTAGTATTTGGGTTTCTCAGGTGATGAATGAGGTCATAAAGTTCCCCAGAGTTGGTCTTTTGTGATTGACTATTGGGGTGGGTAGAAAAATACCATCACAGGGGAACAGGGTTAGTCAGGTCTGAACTCAGACTCTCCTTGGGTGCAGCTTGCCACAGCCACTGTTGGGGCTTGCAGGTAGTTCTCAGGCTAATGGGGTTACGTTCCAGAGGGGATTATGGCTGCTTCTGTTGCCAGGGAAGTGGGGGAAAGCCAGTAGCGATAGGCTTCACCCAGCTTCCATGCAGTTGGCGAGGCCAGTATCACTCCCATCGTGCCCTGCTAACAGCACCCAGTTTATCTCCAGGCAGCTTGTGTGCTGGACTCAGACCTAACCTCAGGCTGTAACTTTACTTGCTGAAAAAGCAAGCACAGCTTTCAGGCTATGCCCCTCCTTGTCTGCTCATACTGTTGGAGGCGAGTCCTGCTTTTCTTTCTGCAGCAGTTCTTGCTCCCCTTAGATTCTGCTCTAGAGAGTTTGCATCAGTCAAAACTATTACAAACTTCTGTTGGAAGCTCTTTCACCCTGTGTCCCCTCCCAAATTTCACCAGCTGCCTTACCCGAGGGTCACTTTGAGATATAATCAGGAATGGCTTCCCTGGGCTCCAGCTGGAGAAATGGAGTTCTTACAAGGCTCTTCCCACTGCCGCTTCTAATTTTACATTTCACAGTAAATCTGTTTCAGCTCCAGGTACGGTTAAGTTCTTCTCCTGTAATATGGACTTTCAGGTTCCCTGGTGGAGACGTGTGTCTGGAAGCAGGTTTCCCCCCTTCTCACACTTTGGGAATTCACATATTTTGTGCCTGTCTTTCAGAATTGGCAGTGGCCTGCCATTTCTTTCTAAAGATCTGTGAATTCTTTCAGTTTTCCTAGTACACACCTTTGGTTGTTCTTGGAGCAAAAGTCCACGGTGTGAGTCTCTACACACTTTTCTGTTTGTCCAAGTGGGAGCTGCATGCCAGCCTTGTCTACTATCCACCATCTTCCCTGACTATGCTTTTGAGTTCTTATTTATAAAATATTTTTCCTGGCCAGTGTCCTAAAGTATTTCCCCTATGTTTTCTACTAGTAGTTTTATATTTTTGGGTTTTACATTAAGGTCTTTAATCTATTTTGAGTTGATTTTTGTACAGCATGAGAGGTGGGGGTCTAGTTTCATTATTTACCTGTATTTTATGGTAGACACCCTCTACCATAGGTATATCATAGGCATAAGTCCTGCCTCTTCTGGGAAGTTCTTTCTTTAGAGAGTTCAGGTTAGTTGGTTAGCCTGTGACCTCACCTCTCTGATGAGCTCAAGAAAGTTTATAATTTTCTAGATTATTTATCTTCTTGTCATTTGGTATTAATGTAGTTCCTTCTTGTGTTTTTTTATCTTAAATGAATGCCAAAAATCTATCAATTTGTTATTAATTTTAACTAAAATTAAAATTATAGGGAGACCCACTATTATTTGTTCTGGCAGTTATAATGAAACTTTCTTATCAATAGCTTTCTACACAGAGAGGTAGTAGAGTGACTAGAAGGGATTGTTCTGAGGACTGAAACCATAAATTCCTCAGGTTCTATTTCTCAGTTTTTTTACTTATGTTCAATTACTTGTGCCTCTACTTTCAGTTTATTCTTGTGTAAGTAGAATAATTATAGAATCATTCTTAAGATTAAATAGATTGGCTGGGCGTGGTGGCTCACGCCTGTAATCCCAGCACTTTGGGAGGCCAATGTGGGCAGATCACGAGGTCAGGAGATCAAGACCATCCTGGCTAACATGTAATATGGATTTTCAGGTTCCCCGGTGGGGACGTGTGTCTGGAAGCAGGTTTCCCCTCTTCTCACACTTTGGGAATTCACAGTTTTGTGCTGTCTTCCAGAATTGACAGTGGCCTGCCATTTCTTTCTAAAGATCTGTGAATTCTTTCAGTTTTTCTGGTACACACATGTGGTGGTACGTGGAACAAAAGTCCACAGTGTGAGTCTCTACTGAAAATACAAAAATTAGCCGGGCATGGTGGTGCATGCCTGTAGTCCCAGCTACACAGGAGGCGGAGGCAGGAAAATCACTTGAACCCGGGAAGCGGAGGTAGCAGTGAGCCAAGATTGTACCACTGCACTCCAGCCTGGGCTACAGAGGGAGACTCCGTCTCAAAAAACAAAAAACAAACAAACAAAACAGATTAAATAGACTAATGTGTTTTAAATCCTGCGTGTCACATGACAAGTGCTTCATGAACACAAGTTAATGGAACAGGAGAGGTGTGGTTGTATTTTACATATAATATATCTATATTGGTAAGCTGAAATTTTAATTTCTTAATCCAGTAAGATAAAATCTTAATTTCTCTTTTTTCTCTTTATAAACTCATATTCATTTAGTAGGTGTTCTCAGGTGGGCACTGTACTATTATCCTCTCTATTTTCAGAACAATTTTAAAGACCATAATATGCTTGGGAACCTCCCTTATTGTTCTGAATTTAGATATAATGCTAAATTTTCTAAAGAAAATCATGTTTTCTGAAAAACAAAAATAACAGGGCATATTTCTTATGTAAATTTGTAATAAAGTAACTTATTTTTGTTATATTTTATGGCATTAAAATAAACATTTTCAGGGTGAAAAATTGTTGCTATTTGCAATTTCACATGCCAATATGAAACTTACATCAAATTAATGTCAACTAATATGTTTAATGGCATTTAAATTTCTTTATCTCTGTTTATTTATAGATCAAATCACATTTACATTAGAGTTCTGAAGCAGCATGTGATTTCAATATTTCCCGTCTATGTTTCTGTTATTTATTTTTAAATAAAATTAAGTATGGTGTGGTAGCTAATTAAAGTTTTAGGTAATCCTGTCATATTATTTGATGTCATGATTTCACTACTGTTATCTCTCCATGGACAATAGTTTATTGATACTAGTTTTTTGTTATTGTTGTTAAATTCTTAGAACTTATTAATCTATTCTGAAAACATATTTCACTTTAAAAAGTTGAGACATGTTAAGAAGGACTTTAATGGTGTATCTCAACAGGACTGTAATAGTATTGATGCCTTTGCATTTTACATATCATAGCACATTTTGAATAACTTTAAAAAAATTAATCAGACAATTCACCAGTTACCCTGGTGAGGGAGATGATGGTGTTTCCTTCATAGTTAAGACGCAGCATCAACATGACTTATGTAAGAATATTCTGATATTCAGAACAGCGGCAAAGGTATAATTAAGTACTTTCAATTAAGTTGAAGATAAATTTTTAAAAGTTTAATTTGATTTTATATAGTGTACTTTACATTAATTTTTTAAAAAGAAGCTGACAGATATGTGATTGGCAGAGAGTTATCCTTTTTATATTTAAAATAACTACTTGAATATAGATGAAAATTAGAATGTGAGATACATTTACTCAAAATGTGTAAGTTCATATGATACAGACATTTATCAAAATGTCCTGCTAAATAAGAATTGACTCACAAGTAACTAAAAGGTATTTTGGAGAGTAGCTACTCCGAATTCCTCCAAATGCAGTGATCCTTTCCAGAGCTCCTCAGACATGGATTTTATGTGCAAATGCTAAAGGCTATCAGCTTAATGCCTTGTAAAGATGTCTGTACCCTGCTTGTCAGTTCTGAAAGTCATACTGTTTTTATTTGACCCTAATTCTGCATCTCTATAAATTCTAGCCAGTGAAAGGCTTATAAAAGCAACAGAGAGTATGTCTACTCTTCTTTCTTTATGCTATTCATTTATGCATTCATCTGCTCATTCATCCATCATGTAGCTAATAGCCAAAGTTTCTATCAGATCTTGAATATAGAAATGCACATTACAAATCTCTACCCTTGAAAACTGAACAAGTCAAATACACAGTCAGCCAATACGATTAATCCTATGAAGAAAGTACAGCCAAAGATCTTACAGAAGCTGAATAAAAGAACTCCTGACTCACCAGTGAGGTTGGATATCAAAAAAGCCTTCAAAGAGGAAAAGACTTCTGACTAGACCAGCTATCTTCAGTGCAGGCAGGAGTATGAAGGCCTAACACGGAAGCAGAGAATGAGTCTCACAGATAATTATAATTTGCATACAGATTGAAGTAAATGGAAGTGGCATTCAAATGTTTAAAGAAGGCTGTTAGTGCTCTCCTACATTTTCGCTTTTCCAGACTAAATAGACCTGCCCTTAGTTCTTCATTATTTGTTGTATGGTTCGGTTTCCAAATATCTTTAATGATTTATTTTATGGCACTTTAATTCATCGAAAAATATAATGTTAAACAGCACAAAATATTCCACATAACTGAATTGCCTTTAGTCTTGCTGCGTTTACAAAGAGCACTGTTAAAACTAGTTTTAAAACCTAACTTGAAGATGCTGTAGAGCTCACAACCTAAGAGCAATACGCCATAAAGTACAAACATGCAGCCATATTTTGTTTCTTATTATGTAGTTGTTGCTCTTATAATTTATCATTATTTTCAATAAGGATTCAATAATTTAAATTACGATTGATGAGAAGAAATATTTTAAAAATCTGATGGATAATGTGTAAATTATATACAACTTTCTACATGGATCCTAGTATCATCTTGTAGGGGCAAAGCAAAGTAGCTGTTTAGCAGCATATATCTATTAATTTACTGGAATTCTCAGACACATCAACCATATGGAAATCAGAAGAGAATTCAACAAACTAGTTCTATTTTGTTGTGTTTTTCTAATGGCGAGCGATAAAGACAAATAAATATAATAGTTGGTAGATGACAATAAGAGAGGGAAGTGAGGTGAGGAAACCTATGCTCTAGAGGTAAGAAATTTTGGAATAACTGAATAGTTTCTGGAGAATTTATGCCAGCATTTGTCATAGATCATTTAAATTTATCCTTGAACACATTAAGAAGTAAAGGAAAGTAGAGCCATTGAATCTAGTGGTTCATAGCAATCCAAAATTGATTATCAACTTCTAGCTGTTCAAGATCTCATCTTTGTGCCTCTTCAAGAGCAAGAACAAAGTAGAACTTTAAGTAGCCTTTGAACCTATATTAGAAATTTTTGTCTGCTTACCAAATAGATAATGCTCACATTTCCCTATATAAGAAAAAAGCACTTTCACAGCATAATTCTCAAAGCATTTGTTTTCTGTGTCCCTTATTTGACAGTCAATTTTGTGTGGGCGGTTAATTTTATATAGGTACACTGATGATTAAGAGCAAGGTTTCTCCTGCTTCCTGGGTTCACACATCAAGTTTGCCACTTAGCCCTTGTGAAGACACAGACTTTATTTTATTTTATTTTATTTTATTTTTTATTATACTTTAAGTTTTAGGGTACATGTGCACATTGTGCAGGTTAGTTACATATGTATACATATGCCATGCTGGTGTGCTGCACCCACTAACTGGTCATCTAGCATTAGGTATATCTCCCAATGCTATCCCTCCCCCCTCCCCCCACCCCACCACAGTCCCCAGAGTGTGATATTCCCCTTCCTGAGTCCATGTGATCTCATTGTTCAATTCCCACCTATGAGTGAGAATATGCGGTGTTTGGTTTTTTGTTCTTGCGATAGTTTACTGAGAATGATGATTTCCAATTTCATCCATGTCCCTACAAAGGACATGAACTCATCATTTTTTATGGCTGCATAGTATTCCATGGTGTATATGTGCCACATTTTCTTAATCCAGTCTATCATTGTTGGACATTTGGGTTGGTTCCAAGTCTTTGCTATTGTGAATAATGCCGCAATAAACATACGTGTGCATGTGTCTTTATAGAAGCAAGATTTATAGTCCTTTGGGTATATACCCAGTAATGGGATGGCTGGGTCAAATGGTATTTCTAGTTCTAGATCCCTGAGGAATCGCCACACTGACTTCCACAATGGTTGAACTAGTTTACAGTCCCAGTCCCACCAACAGTGTAAAAGTGTTCCTATTTCTCCACATCCTCTCCAGCACCTGTTGTTTCCTGACTTTTTAATGATTGCCATTCTAACTGGTGTGAGATGGTATCTCATTGTGGTTTTGATTTGCATTTCTCTGATGGCCAGTGATGATGATCTATGACAAACCCACAGCCAATATCATACTGAATGGGCAAAAACTGGAAGCATTCCCTTTGAAAACTGGCACAAGACAGGGATGTCCTCTCTCACCACTCCTATTCAACATAGTGTTGGAAGTTCTGGCCAGGGCAATTAGGCAGGAGAAAGAAATAAAGGGTATTCAATTAGGAAAAGAGGAAGTCAAATTGTCCCTGTTTGCAGACGACATGATTGTATATCTAGAAAACCCCATTGTCTCAGCCCAAAATCTCCTTAAGCTGATAAGCAACTTCAGCAAAGTCTCAGGATACAAAATCAATGTACAAAAATCACAAGCATTCTTATACACCGATAACAGACAAACAGAGAGCCAAATCATGAGTGAACTCCCATTCACAATTGTTTCAAAGAGAATAAAATACCTAGGAATCCAACTTACAAGGGACGTGAAGGACCTCTTCAAGGAGAACTATAAACCACTGCTCAAGGAAATAAAAGAGGATACAAACAAATGGAAGAACATTCCATGCTCATGGGTAGGAAGAATCAATGTCGTGAAAATGGCCATACTGCCCAAGGTAATTTACAGATTCAATAACATCCCCATTAAGCTACCAATGACTTTCTTCACAGAATTGGAAAAAACTACTTTAAAGTTCATATGGAACCAAAAAAGAGCCCGCATCGCCAAGTCAATCCTAAGCCAAAAGAACAAAGCTGGAGGCATCACACTACCTGACTTCAAACTATACTACAAGGCTACAGTAACCAAAACAGCATGGTACTGGTACCAAAACAGAAATATAGATCAATGGAACAGAACAGAGCCCTCAGAAATAACGCCACTTATCTACAACTATCTGATCTTTGACAAACCTGAGAAAAACAAGCAATGGGGAAAGGATTCCCTATTTAATAAATGGTGCTGGGAAAACTGGCTAGCCATATGTAGAAAGCTGAAACTGGATCCCTTCCTTACACCTTATACAAAAATCAATTCAAGATGGATTAAAGACTTAAACGTTAGACCTAAAACCATAAAAACCCTAGAAGAAAACCTAGGCATCACCATTCAGGACATAGGCATGGTCAAGGACTTCATGTCCAAAACACCAAAAGCAATGGCAACAAAAGCCAAAATTGACAAATGGGATCTAATTAAACTAAAGAGCTTCTGCACAGCAAAAGAAACTACCATCAGAGTGAACAGGCAACCTACAAAATGGGAGAAAATTTTCGCAACCTACTCATCTGACAAAGGGCTAATATCCAGAATCTGCAATGAACTCAAACAAATTTACAAGAAAAAAACAAACAACCCCATCAAAAAGTGGGCAAAGGACATGAACAGACACTTCTCAAAAGAAGACATTTATGCAGCCAAAAAACACGTGAAGACACAAACTTGAACACAGATTGCTTAATCCTTCTGGGTCCCAGTTACAGCTAAAATAAGAATAATAATATCCAGTTTACAAAACTGATATTTGATTTGGTATGCAAAGCAGCTAAAATTCTTCTCGACACATGAGAGGAGACGTTCTATAAATTGACACTATTATTGGCTTCCTTGATTACTTTATTTCTGAATATATTTGCTTTGCCCCCTTAACAAAGTTTGATGCTGCCATGGGAAAGGACTGTGGAATTTCTGCTGTTTTACCACAAATGAAAATTGAGTTTCTATTATGTGTGGTCTGGCTTAGAACTTTGCTTTGCTTATCTGCAGAGACAAAAACAAACTATAGCTAGATTGATTGATGACTTACCTTAGAATTAGGACCAATATATTTCACCAATAATGCTAGGTAATAGGTCATTTATTTCTCTAACAAGAAACTTCAGGTGCTGACCTGACCTCCTCCTAGTGTCTCATATGTCCTGTGGACTAGACTCCTCTCACTGCCCATACATCAGTTTTTTGACTAGTATCTACTTTCATCTCAATTTTTAAAAATAATATTCTATTTTAGGATAGTTTTAAGTTTAAAGAAAAATCAAAAAGATAGTACAGAGTTTTCATATATTTGATACTACATTTCTTCTATATTTTCAAGCAGTACTTGAACATTTTAAGGAGTACTGGTGAGGTATTTTATAGAATCTTCAATTGGGATTTGTCTATTATTATTTTCTCCTGATAATACTGGAGATAAGGGGTTTAGTGAAGAAGAACACAGGGAAAATTGCCTTTTTCATCACGTTGTATCAAGGATAAAATCTATCAACATGACATCACTGTGTGTCTTAACCTTGATTCCCTAGTTGAAGTGGTGTCTGTCAGGTCACTCCATATTGCAAAGTCAGTCTTTCCCCCCATTTCCATACTCAAGTCTATGGAAGGAAGTCTCTGTATGTGCAGCCCATACCTGAGGAGTGGAGATTTATTCTGCAGTGGAGATTTGTCTTATATGTCCCATTTATTTATTTATTTATTTATTTATCTCATGTTTATTTATGTTAGTATGGACTCATGGATATTTATTTCATACTTTGGGTTATACTCCAGTACTGCTTTATTTATTTTGTTGCAAAAATTTTTCCAGCATTGGCCATTGGTAAAAAGACAAAATTGGCTCTTGTATCCCTTAGGAATATGCCCATCATTGTACATTTTCTTTTGTTTCTTTGTTTTATTTTGTTTTTTGAGCATTTCTCTTTTTTTCTAGCCTAGAAAAACCTCCAAGCTTATCTTTTAAATGTTCTGCCCAGTCCTAAAATTGGCCATTTATTCCCTCTTCCTCATATTGGAGAATAGTATTTGTAGAAAGCAAAATTTGTGCACTCTATGTGCTTCTTGTTCCTGGCCAATATTATAACATATTACATTATATGTAAACATATTAATTGAATAGCTATCACACATATAAAAATTAAGTGTACATCTAAACTTAATTGCTTACATTTGAATTTCTAAATGATAATGTGATCTAAAAATTTTTAGAAAATCCCCTGAGCATTGAGTAAATTGCCACCATGATCATGTAATATAAATATATAAATAGATATATTAATATTGTTAATATTCAATGAGAAAAAGTATTTTCAAATACAAAATAAAATATTGTCAAATGTTATTTCAACTTTTAAAATTTCTATTGTGTGTATATTTTATAATTTGCAAAATATATTTTACAATCATAGCTGTGCCTAATTTATAAATAAATAAATATTCAAATACTAAGCATGTATGCTAATTTTTAACTTTTAAGTTTCATCATAAATAATTCCTGTGATCTCTGTTATATGTAATTTCTTCCTGTGGAGGTGATGTTGACAGTGTTACTTCTGCTGTAGACTATAGGGAAATGCTTCAAACTTTAATGGGAATAAGAATCAATTGGGATTCTTATTAAAAATGCAGATTCTCGTTTAGCATGTGTATGTTTTCTATTGCTATAAACAAAATACCACAGACTAAATGCTTTAGAACAACACACATTTATTATCTTATCATTTCCACTGGGTCAGGATTGCAGGTACAAGTTATCTGGCTCCTCTGCTCAGCCTCTCAGCAGGCTAGAGCCACGCTGTTGCCAGGGGCTGCGATCTCACATCCCCCCTCAAGTTCATTGATTGTTGGCAACATATATTTCCTTGTGGTTGTAGAACCAAGAACTTCAGTTCATAGGGCATCCCACCATTTCCTGCTATGTGGTCATCTGCATAAGGCAGTTTCTTCCTTCACAACAAACAGGAGTGTATCTCTCCTGCTTCAAATCTCCCTGAATAACCTGTAGACTCTCATTTAAGGGACTCATCCAATTAGGCAAGGCCCACCCAGGATAATCTCCCCCTGGAATGAATTAAAGTCAACTAATTAGGACATTTTAGCATATCACCGAAGTCCTTCTACCTTTGCCATGTAATATAACCAAATTATTGGAATAAATCCCGTCATGTTGACAAGTCGTACTCGCAATCATGGGGAGACGCTCACAGAGAGTGTCTGTACCAAGAGGAGGAAATCTCACGGATCATCTTGAAATTGATTCTCTCGTAGTATGTGTGAGGTAGAGCCTGAGATTCTACATTTCTAACAAACTCCTTGGTGATGCTGATACTACTAGTACACAGGGGACACTTTGGCAAGACTGTAGAGCACGTGGGAAGAACTCCATTGGGAATATTGCCTTTCCTCCCATCTCCTTCCTTAGGTAGGCTTGGAGCATCCATGTTTCCAGGCTTTGCTGATTGTTCAACATCTTTGATTCAGGGAGCATGACTTTTGATTAAATCAGAGTCGGAGAAAGACAAATTCACAGGCATGTTTAAAAAAGAAACAAAACAAAAAGCCCACTGTCTCTGACAGTCAGTGGATTTTCTGTCAGATACTTTGGTATAGCCTTGGATGAAGGATTTTTAAGCTAGAGATAGTTATGAAGTAACAACAAATAACCAAGCTGTTCTAGGGTTTTCTTATTGCTTTTTAAAAGAATGCTATTGTGGGGGTGGTATGCAGCAATATTATTAATAATATTTCAGTAAGGTAGACAATATTTCTTTTTGAAAGGAGCATTCTTACAGTGTATTTTATATATTCAAATATTTTGGGATACACTGGATCAGTAATCAGCATAGCAAGGTAGTTCATATCTTAGTCATTGCCACTAAATACCAGAGTGATCTCTGGTAAGTTATTTAAAAGACTTAATTTCTCCATCTGTAATAATAATTCCAATCTCACTGAGATGTTGTGAGGGTTAATGAACAATACACATGAAACACAAAAGAGGTTCTGACAGGTAAACAATGCTCAATAAATGTTAGCAAACTGGGCGAGGTGTCACACATCTGTAGTCCCAGCTACTCTGGAGGCTGAGATGGGAAGATGCCTTGAACTCAGGAGTTTGAGGCCAGCCTGAGCAACATAGTGAGACAGTATCTTTAAAATGAGCAAATAAATAAATACTAGCAATGGTTCTGGGTATATTAGTGAAACATTTCCATAAAGATAGCAGGTTATTATTCAATGAAAATATAGAAGTACTATAGTTGAAGATAAGCAAAAATGCATTGAGAATATTGTCTAAGTAAAAAGCATTAACTATATTCAAGGATACATTATTGAGGTATAATATAAATTGTGCCTGAATATTTGTATGCCTTTCATTTTATTAAACAATTCATTATATAATCCACAAGAAATACTTGCTGACCAGCTTATTCCTGTATTAGAGAGTGTAGGCAAAAGAAGGGATATATGAATTGGCTAATGTCCTTGAGACATCACACCTTAAAAAACTTAAGCAAGATAAGCAAGTGTCCAAGATTGTACATGAATTAAATGTTAAGTGGGTGTTTAGCCCAGTATGTGTTGCACTTAATGCTGACAGCCTAAAGTGAAAATAAAAGGCTCTGCTTGTTTCATTTGAATGGCTAGAAAGCTATCAGTGTCACAGAGTCAGGAAAGCCATTTGCTCTCTATTTGTCGATTTTCTGTGTTCCAGTGTGTTTGATAAAGAAAGAGGTAGAGAAGAATCTCAGTGAAGTTAAGTACTTCTGACATAGTTACAACAGAAGTAACTTAAAAGTGGCCCACTGGATACTGCTGGGTGATGTGGTGTATTTTCCAGAAGAACTGTGAAAAAATTTGTAGACAGTTTTGCCCTGTTCACCATGTATCCCAAAATATGAACAAAACATGGTATGTGTATTTAGCAGCAAAAGAGAAAGACTAAATAGTCTCATGGAAAGCATGTGGAATAGGGATGATACTGAGAATGCAGAAGACAAATTTATTATCCTCTGAAATTCTAGATTCAGCTCTGTGGAAGAAGGAAACAAAATTAACTTCTCTTGCCCTAAGACTGCCTGGAATTTAGTAAACACAAGGGTATATACACCCCAAAATTCAGTCTGGCCTTGAAGATTTTTCCACAAAGTCAATAAAGAACACTGAGGAAAGTTAGATGAAAGAACAATAAAGTAACTACTATTTAGTAGATATAAAACACTGAATGCTTAATCACATACTTAATATATGTTTTCTTCCCCCAGATACTGTGAGAGATCAGTATGATTTCTATTTTATGGGTAAGAAAATTTAAGCTCTGAGAAGTCAAATTATTCACTGTATGTCACAACAGCTTGGACTTGCTTGGATCTGGGTGGACTGAGTTTTTTTGTTATGTGTAGATAACTCTGTGTGTGACTGTGATCCAGAAAAGTGGCTAATTAGTGGATGATTCCAACAGATAGCAATACTCAGACAGTATGGAAACATAATGACCTGTCTGATCGGTTCATTGCCTCAGATGATACCTACTATGCATGCTGCAAATGCACACCAGCTTTCCTGCTAGACCCCAAGGGGTAAGAGCTTGAAGAGCAGGCACCTGTCTTGCCATAAGCAATCATTCAAAAAAGCCAGGTGGAAAACGACTTTCAGTGTGGAAATAAATCAAACGCAGTGTCAAGACATCGGTGAGTGAAAAAAAAAAAAAAAAAAGAAAGAAAAGAAAGAAAGAAACTGCCCTGTTTCTATTTTTCATTAAGCATGCATGAGGGTTTTTCAAATTATTATTATTATTAATAAAACCAATTTTGAGTGATGATGTGGAGAAGCTAGAAGTGTCATCTATTGCAGGGAGGAATGGGAATTGGTACAATCACTTTGGAAAACAGGTTGGCTGTACCTGAACATAGGTATAACCTATTATCCAGCAATTCCTCTCCTAGGCATAACTCAACAGAATTTATCTATGTGTTTACCAAAAGAAATGTACAAGAATGTTCACAGAACTATATGAAATAGTAACAAACTGAAAATCATGTAAATGTTCATCAAAATTACGTAGGATAAATAACCAGTGCTGTATTAAAAATAAAACCAAATACCTCAATGAGAATGAAAGGATTACTACTGCGACTTCTATCATAATGAATGAATCACAGATATAATGAAGAACAAGAGAAGGCAATATATAATGTGTTATTTCATTTATATAAAATACAAAAGCAGATAAATCTACCATATGGTATCGTAATTAAGGATAACATTTGCCCTTAGGGCACGTATAGACTAGGAATTTCGCTATTTCTAGATCTCTGTCTCTCTCTTTTTTAACTTTTTGACCTGGAGAAGGTTATACGGTATACTTACTTGGTGAGAATTGATTAAGCCATACACTTATGACTTGCTCACATTCATATATAGCTTATATTTCAATAAACTCTTTTTAAAAAAAATTGTTAAGGCGTCACAGGTGAAGGATAATGAGAGTTTCTAAAATACAGTTCCAACTCTGCAATTGAGAACAATTTCAATGAGGAGGAAAAAAGACATTTATCTAAAGAAATTATTAACACTATATTTTAATCTCAAATTGTGAAAGAAAATACTCAAATTTCAGAAAGGGCAATGTATATCAATGTTGAAAAACATTGTGCATTGTTGTGACTCTTTAAGAATATCCTTGGGAAGTCTAAAATACAGATTGAGTTTTAAAAAGTTGACTACAAGCAACAAAGTGTATGTAAAGCCTAAGGAACAGTATAAGATGGAAAAAGAAAGGATGTGTCAATGCAATCAGATTTATTCGATTAAAGGCAGAAATTTATAATTTCTATATTCCTCCTTTTCTGCCAAGTATATCACTGTTCAAATATGAAAGTGTTACATATGCATGCTAAAACAGAACAGAAAATATGAATGCAAATTGCTATTTTTAAGTGAGTTCAAAATCACAGCCAAGGAGTTGGCAAACTACAGTCTGCAAGCCAAATCCAGCCAGCTCCCTGCTTTTGTAAATAAAGCTTTATTGTTTCACAGCCATTCTCATTCACATATATATTATCCATATCTGCTTTTGTGCTATAGGCAGAGTTGATTGGCTGAGGTAGAGATGGTAGAGTCTGCAAAGTGAGAGATATTTGCCCTCTGGCCCTTTATAGACAAAGTGTGCCAACTCATGGCATACATTAAGACAAATGATTTTTTAGAGTTCTAAGCTATTAAAGTATGATGTGTTTTTTGTTTGTTTGTTTGTTTCTTTTGTGTGTGTGTGTGTGTGTGTGTTTTTGAGATGGAGTCTCACTCTGTCACCAGGCTGGAGTGCAGTGGCACGATCTCGGCTCAGTGAAACCTCCACCTCCTCAGTTCAAGCGATTCCCCTGCCTCAGCCTCCCAATTAGCTGAGACGATAGGTGTGTGTGCCACCACGCCCGGCTAATTTTTTTTATTTTTTTTTTAATGTATTTTAGTAGAGATGGGGTTTCACCACGTTGACCAGGATGGTCTCAATCTCCTGACCTCGTGATCCGTCTGCCTTGTCCTCCCAAAGTGCTGGGATTATAGGCCTGAGCCACAGTGCCCAGCCAGAAGTGGTTTTGTATCTACTTTTGTAATCTCTCATGAATCAAAATTGAGAGAGGAGTTAAAGTTTGGAGGAAGATGACTATTTTTGTTTAAGTTTCTATTTTTTAAATGTTCGGTCTGGGGATAATATGATGGTAACCTTAATATTGATCCTTTGTAAAATTCCAGAGTAAATTTTTAGACAAATGGTTTTCTGAATACTGAGAGCAATCAGCAAATTGATAGAGGTGGTGATAGCTACTAACTTATTTATCACAAAAGTCTATGATATAACTACGTTATTATCTTCACTTTACCAATGAAGAAAATGTGATACTAATCTAAACTCACATAGCTAGCAATAATCTGACATCTTGATGTTCTTATTTTGCTTACCCCATATCCCATTACACAGACTCACTAAGAAGTTGCATGAGTTCTGTCATGTTCTTTCAAGTATCATTACTAGGAAAATGGCATGGATATACTATATTTTCATTTTATTATGGTCTTTAGCAAAATGTGTTATAATTTGGAGGAAGCAATACAAATAGGAGGGTTCATAGTATATTATTATCTAAAATATTACCTAAAGCAAAATATTATCTAAAATATGTAAAAATATCAGATAAAAGTTGTACTTTAATATAATTTCATAGGACAACCTTAGCCTTTTTGTATTTTACATTCTTTACTACCTTAGTAGGTATCAAAAAGGATGACTGAAAACAGATAGAGGTTGCTGACATACTGCAGAGTGGAATCAAAATTCCACATTGACTCCATAGCTTAGTAGATTCATACTTACTAGGTACCAAGCCCTCTGTGTCCTGCCTGGCTTATAGCAGGGGAGAGGGCAAACATGGATGCTGCACGCACAGCATGCTCTGTTTAACACTGGAAACCAATGCTGACTGTTTGGTGAGAATACTGAGTGTTAACAAGGAGCTCTTCAGTATATAAATTACATATAACTGGCTGTTCATTGAGACCCTCCTGGAGGATTGTAAATTTGGAACTGAAGAAAATGCAAGTTAGTGAGCCAGCTAAAGGAAATTAAGAATAATGAATGTGAGTGGGTGTGTATATGCAATGGACTGAATGTTCATGTCCCCCACAAATTCATGAGTTGAAACCCTAATTCCAATGTGATGGTATTTGAAGGTGATGATCTTTGGGGGATAATGAGGTCATGAAAGGGAGCCCTCGTGAATGAGATACTTGCTTTTGTAAGAAGAAGCTAGAGAGCTAGCTAGCTCTTTGCCATGTGATGACACAGCAATAACATCTGTCTATAAACCAGGAAGAGGGCCCTCACCAAGAAACTCATGCTACTGGCACCCTGATTTTGGACTTCAGACCTCCAGAACTGTGAGAAATAAATGTTGCTTAAACCACTCAGTTAATGGTATTGTTTTTCTAGCAGCCAAGCTGACTAAGGCAATGTGGGATTGGGAAGGGCCTTTTGGGAAGAGAAACAGGAGCTGCACAGACCTTGAAGTAGAAGAGAGAATAAGAGTACGTATATGTGAAGAAATTCAGTATACCTGGACTGTGAAGATCAGAACGAGCTGTAATGATGAACAGAAACCAAAAAGCTTTCAAAAGTAAAAAAAATATATTTGCATAGCAAGTAGAAATCTTGATTACAAATAGGATATCTTTTTTTGACAAGTTCTATAGAAACAAGTGTGTGATAATCTTGGTGAAAGCAAGCAAGAAGACATATACATATAGCTCTGATTACATCCACATTCACTTGCATTTACAGCAGTGTAGTGTCCAGATGAGAACATAGTCTCTGACCATGATTCTTTGCTATCCTACAAATAGCACAATATATTGTATTGTAGGTGCCACACAGAAAGCGAAGATTGACCAACTAATACTCTCTAAACAGATTTGAAGGGTTTATGTGAGGGACAAATTCAGGAAAATGTAAAGTCTTGGCCTGGAGAGAAAAAGCTTAACCAGAGGCATTATTGCATCTTAAAGTATCTTAAAAACTTTCATTTAGAAGAGGGAGTTGATTTATTTTGTATGCTTTTAAAATGTAGAACAAGGAACAATGGGCAGACACATTTTTCACTCTAAATAATCAAGAACTTTCTGAGAATAATAGCTTTCCAAATAAGGAAGCCTCTCCACAACGTACTCCCTGCCATGGGATTTATTTAAGGGAGACCAAAGGCCATTTCTGAAGGATGCTGTGCAAGGTGTTCTTTCATTGAGATGGAGATTGGGCGACGTGACCCTTATGTCTCTAAGAGGCTGTAGTTATGTGTTTCTTATACTGTCTTTCTCTTTATTCTGCTACACTGCTGGGAGAGTAAAAACTTGAGGCGATTTTAAAATGACTTGCCCAGATGCTAGTTTCTGATACTAAGTCAAAACACTGGCTGCTCTATCATGGCTGATGAGTTAGTTTTTTGTTTGGATAAAAGTCATGAATTTGATTATGTTAGGGTTATTTCTGTTAGGGCTCTCCAAGCACAGGCAACATTTTAATGACATGAATCACACAGAAGATAGTAATTACTGTTTTGTGAACTAAACAGCCCCACCATCCTGTATAGCAGGGTAATCATCATTAGAAAACCATTTCTAACAATATGTGCCACACATTTATTGTTCTAGGTTTGTATACATTCCAAATAGCTTGAAGCAGAGCTTTGAGTGTTTAACATTGTTGATACTTTTACAATATTAAAAGTTGTCTTTCCCCATACCTTTCTGGCCACTTAAAACTCTGTTCTCTTTTATTGTGACCTCATCACATGCATGACAATCTGGTGTCCAGAATTTGTTTTCCTGTTATGGAAATAAAGATACACACATACTCTCTCACAAACTCTTATAATGTTTCTCACACATGCACACTTCCTTCTCTTAGTTCGGATTCAGTTTCTAACTTCACCTTTTCATTGAAAATATTTAAAATTTTAATTATTTAAACCAATATGCTAAGCTATCAAATGTTGGAGTTTAATGTCAGGTATGTTTTAGAATCTATATCATACTGTTTGGTCATGGACCTCATGAGGCAATTAGGTAGTAACGTCTAATACACTGTCTTTTTTTTTTTTTTTTTTTTTTTTTTTGAGATGGAGTCTCCCTCTGTCACCCAGACCGTAGTGCAGTGGCGTGATCTTGGCTCACTGCAAACTCCATCTCCCAGGTTCAAGTGATTCTCTTGCCTCAGCTCCCGAGTAGCTGGGATTACAGGCGCCCACCACCACGCCCGGCTAATTTTTGTATTTTTAGTAGAGACGGGGTGTCACCATGTTAGCCAGGCTGGTCACAAACTCCTGACCTCAGGCTGTTTGCCCGTCTCGGCCTCCCAAAGTGCTAGGATTACAGGCGTGAGCCATAATAGATTGTTTTGATCCTGTGTATGGTAATACATTCATGAGCTGTCATGCATACTGAAAACAATGTACGGTATATCGGTGGTACATTTTGATGATCTCCAAATGTAGTTACTATAGTTAACAAAGTTACTTAAAAAATAACATTTTAAACCTTATTCTGTTTTTTAATTTTTTTTTATGTTCTTGTGTTTAGTCTTATTTGTATGTTCTCATGCCTATGTTAAATTATATATAATTTACTTTAACATATATCAGCCTGGTTAAGAAATATGTCTGTGCATTAATTAGTTGTAAACTATCCCCTTTAACCAAGAACAGCTAATTTCTAAACTGTACTCTTTAGGAAGGCACTCTCGAGAGGATGTCAGCTAGCATTTAAATCAGCCGTCCCCAACCTTTATGGCACCAAGGACTGGTTTTGTATAAGACAATTTTTCCACGGACGGGGAGGGGTATGGTTTTGGGATGAAATAGCATGAGGCATTAGATTATCATAAGGAGCCTACAACCTAGATCCCTTGTATGTGCAGTTCACAATAGGGTTTGCACTCCTATGAGAATCTAATGCCCCTGCTGATCTGATAGGAGGCGGAACTCAGGCGGTAATGCTTGCTCACTTGATGTTCACCTCCTGCTGTGCAGCCCGGTTCCTAACAGGCCACAAAGGGGTATAGGTGTGTGGCCCAGGGGTTGGGTACCCCTGGTTTAAGTGATTTTCATTTAGAAGCCCGCAATGCAGGGTAAGCTACTATTAAGTATTTCTTTTAACATGGTATCTACTCAACATCTTAGAGTGTGCTAGTCTAATATATCACAGAAATGACTTTTTTATTGATAAAGTAAGTGGTTTTCATAAGGTGTGAATTGTTAAACTACTGTATAGGAATGTGCCCTTGAAACAACAGAGTTTTAAGAATGTATCCAGCCCTATAATCTACTCCATTGGAAATAATATCTTAAGTTTATGATTCCAAATAGGTTCTGTGTCCAGTAACATGTTTTGTTACATGAATCTGTAAAAGTTGAGCTAAATTGTATCTCTCAAATATGGCTGCACCTGCTTTGAATGAATCTTTCATATAAGGTGGCGTCGTTCTACCCAAAGAACAAAGATCTGTGACTGCAGTGAGAATGGAGAACCGGTGCTATCAAAGTATTTTGGATCTGTTTGCCCATAAAGATACATATAGTAGGCTTCCTCCTGAAAATTACAATTATTGTAATATTATACCTGATAAAAATGTTGTCAGTTAGAAGGCCTGTATTTATTACCTACCTCCAACTAAAAGGAACCTAATAAGTGTGAATCATCAAATTGATTTATGTTAATATGCATCAGGAAGAAATCTCATAAAAGGATATTTTTAATGTAGATTTTCCTGGGTATTATTAAAACTAACAATACAAAACATATGTGATACTTCTTTAGTGAATAATTATCTCCAAGCCGTTAAAATTCCACTTAAAAAACTCACAGCATAAAAATCTGGGAGTATTACTTAGTTATTTTTAACATAAAAATTTCAGAATCTTTGAAAAAACATCTCTCATTTAATTTTCTTCTGCTATTACATAACTCACATGTTGAATAAAGGGGGTTGTTACAGGAGAAAAACCAAAGCAAAGCTAAAATGACAACAGATAGGACCCATCCCTTCAGGACCAAGCAAAATAGAATCAAAATTTAAAAATCCATATACCATCATAACATTATGCATCAAAACCAATATCATTAAAATAACCTCCAGTGGTAAAATAAATTATCTCTCATTAATATTTGAGTGTGGAATAATGTTCTGCAAGTACAATTGTGTTTTATAACTCAGATTGTACACCTTACAACTGATTGTGGTTGACATGGTAAAGCTCAACCCATATGTATCTTCCTGGAAGGGCTTATTGTACCAGCTGCTGGGAGCATTAGATGTTATTCAGTTGTCAGCCCCTTTCAGGGACTACCTCAGTGCCAAGGATTACTTTGCTCAAAGTCATTCCGTTCCCTAAGCAGTCCACCTCTAATGACTTACAGGAGAGGTTACAAAGTCTTAGCCATTTCAGACTAGCCCAGGACAACTCCAATGAGCCGTATTTGCTCCAGATCCTACCACTGAATCGGAGAAGGCTTTTGCCCAGTTGGCATTACGCTTTCACTTCTCCAGCTACTCAAATCTGCTGCTGCTTCTGCTGTAAGTAGCTGTTGATCCCAAGACCCTGCCCTAGTAGACCTTCTGCACATTGAATTTAATTTCAAATGTTGCTTCCTGGAGAACCCATTCTGGGACAATATTATTTTCTCTAAACTGCTATCATAGTTTTAAAAATGTGCATGTGTGATACACTTCAGCAATCTAAAGCAAACACATATCTAATTTTCTTGAATTAATGTATCTTCTATATATATGATAGGACTTAATTAGATAATTCACAATAATTTTTATAGATAATTATTGTGGCGACATAAAATTTGGACATTTAAATTCACCTTAAGTAAACATATGAAAATTTGTATTCTTTTCAAAACATAATTTTAAAATTATTTTACCCAGATACAAATATTTTAAGAATTTGAGTCAATGTCATTGAATTTCAAATAATAGAAGAAATTCCTTAAAATGTAGGTTCAAGAGACCTTCTTTCTATGGTGAGAAATAATGAAATGGGAATATACTGAAATACTGAATGCTTATAGCAAACTTTGTACTGTGCAGGAAAGATATATTCTATAAGAAAGACATTTTATCTCTTTCAATAATGCTTCTCTTTTAAAATAGATTATTTCATTATTAGGATCAGAGAATGGAAAGAGACTCCAAAAATTTTATTTTAAAACATACTGTCTTTTTACTGTGTATTTATTGAAGCTCTGCTGAGGGTCCATTTAAAATATGTGCTGGCTCTTGAAGAATCAAGTATCTCACTCTTGGAAAGTATGCTTGTACTTTTGTAATATGCTTGTAGTTTTGTATAAAATATGTAATTGATGATCTATATACAAACGTGTTTTGTTACCAAAAGAGGTTATATGACATAGTGTACCTCCTTCAACACAGAAATATTTATAGATAAATATGGAGATAATGTCTTTTTTATTACATAGAGTATTTCTGAAGATTACACAGCAAACAAAAATAAAATGTAATATATACATGTGTAAGACAAATATTAAGTTGTATTAACATAAAGGATTGTGTAGTTTATTATTATGAGTAATGATTTAATCAAGTTTCTAATTAACATCTTTCATTTGTTAATTGCCTTTCCAGGGAAGAAATCCTACTTAAATTCTAACCAAACAATTGGTGGTTTTAGTATTATTTTCTCTTGCTTCTTTCTCTATGAAAAGTAATAAAAATTTGTAAGTACAATTCTAATCACTCTTTAAATATTTGTGGAAACTCATTAAGTTCCTTTTCTGTCTGTTTATTTCAAAGCTTACCAGCTCTAAATCTTTTCAATTTTTCTCATTTGCAATAGTTTTCTTCCTGAAATGATTCCTTTAAGATTTTTATAAATCCCTTCAATTATAAGGTATGATTCAAAATGAGAAAGTGCACACACTTATAGTGTTGTAAAAGGCAAAAAGCTGTAGACATATTCTAGTGCCAATCTTTGGGGGCAAACTTTTTTTCTTTCAAAGGAGCTACTTAATTCAGCTTTTGAACAAATAGGAGTCCTGGACATGTTGTCGATAATACTTTCCTTATATTTTGATTTTCGTAGGCTAATATTTGTTGTGAGATGTAACTTTTTAATGCATGTCCCTTTCTTTTTATATATTTTGAAAAATTCTAACATAATATCCACTTACTTTTTAGCAGGTGAAACAATAAAACAGCATATATGGTTTCCTCTAAGGTCCAATCTTACTGCTGGACTTAATGTCAATGGCATATTGAGTATTAATCTTTAATTTTCTGCATATATGTAACTAATGTTAATGTCAATGTCCTGTTGAGGATTGATCTTTAACTTTCTCCACATATTTAACTTTCTTCACATAAATAAACATGAATAAAATCAATTATTCTTATAAAATAAAAGCTGACACATATAGCAGACATTCCATTTTAATTTTCAACTTGAGGTTCTCTCAAAAAATTACTAAAATGCAGATGTGATTCACTTTATAGTTGTATGAAATTTTATGGTATGATATATTGATATTTAGTCAAATGTATTTCTCTTATAGATATGCAATTTGGTAGTTTTTATTCTTTTTCATGCCTTTTGAATTTAGAAGTATGTTTTAAATAAACATCCTTGAATTTATCTTTAAATACTGATGCTTTTATACTTGGGAGATACATTCTCTAAATGATGTTATTATATCAATGTTAAGTATATATCTCATTGTCTTATAATAACCATTTTGAATGAGTCTGTAGCCAAATAAAGCTGTAAATATCTTTTTAAATATGTCTTTTCCTAGTCATGACTTCCCCATTTTATACATATTGTTGGGTTTGAAATCAAAATGTGGAACTATGCAACTATATATTTTAAATTTAATTGAATATTTAATTATTCTAAAATGCTCAGACACTTGGACATTCTTTTAACATTAAACAAATCTGTTGTTTCTCTATGTGTCTTTCATATTGTTTCTACAGTCACATATTTTTAAAAAAAGTAATAAAGACTTCCGGCGTAGCTGAGATATTAGTTCCACACAAAACAGAATGTCGCAAAACATCCTCCAACCCTCCAAAACTATAGCGAATAGGAAGCATTAACAAATCCATATAAATCTAATGCATTCAGCGTAACTAAAAGAGAACTCTACAAATTTCAAATTATCAGCAGTACACAAAAATAAACAGCATTTAAAGCCAAAATATTTTTCCTTCTCACTTCAAAACCTTGTGAAGCGCAAGGTAGAGTCTGAAGTAAAATGAAAACCATAGAGAAGAGAAAAGAAGGGAAAAAAGGCTCAAGTTTGAAGTAAAATAACCCGAAAAAGACAAAGCTCACATTTAGTGCAAAAATATGAAAAGCACTCCTTGGAAATAAAAATTAAAAAATAACTATAGGTAAGTTACTGAAAGGTGAATGAGGAGTTTATTTCTTATATCAGTTTATCCTGAAAGTGAAACAACTACAAATATGTCAAATGGTTTTCAGACTTTGGATATCGAGCAGTGCAGAAAAGTGATCTCTGAGAGAAGGGAAACAAATAAAATGAATCCTAAAATTACCACAGTTTACTGACGAGAGAGTTTTCAGGTGGTAGCAGAGGGAATATTGGGGATGGAGACAGCTGTCCTCAATTGAGGAAACAGTTAAAAGACATAGATGACCAAAGCACTAGAGTTGACATGGCAGGGTATTGAAAAGGAAAGAGCTCGAGAGAGAGTGCTCCAAAGTTGGTATCTGACAAAGACCACTCTTGAGTTTTCAACTAAGTACTCTCAGTGTACATATGTAAGAAATGTATACAAGGCAAGGAAAAATTACTCAAAAGGAGCAGGAGGAAAAATAAATAGTGCTTACAATCACACAGGGCCAGGGCCAGGCTTCTAACCAACAGATCAACATTATAATTTATGGGACATTGGGTAACATTCATAGAAGTTTTTTTTTTTATTTTACTTTTTTATTTTTTGCATCAATATTGTGGCAAAATTAGTCCTGAAGGTCTCTTTGCTCCTGTTGAACAAAATATAAATTCAAATTGCTTCCCGGTAACTAAACTTTATTCTAAAAAACAAAAAAAAAGCATGAGACTATTTACAGCAAAAATATCCTACACACAATGTGGTGAAATTTACAATTTCTGCTCTCCAAAAAAAAAAGGTTTAGCATTAAAAAGTTGGAACACATATTATGAGGAGAAAATGCATTCAATGAAAACAAACACATAAATGACACAGATGATTACTTCTGTCTTACATATGTTCAAGAGTATAGATAGAAAAGATTGAGCATGTTAAACAGAGATACGTAAAATATCACCATAACCCAAAGTCTGTGAGATAAAAAGTACAATATGTTAAAAGAAAAATATAATGGATGAGAAAAATGTCATATTAGACCCTGCAGAAGAAAAGATATGTGAACTTGAAGACAGTAAGAGAAACTATCAACTGTCAAACTCATGAAGAAAACAGACTGAAAAAATGAACAGCATCAGTAAACTGTTGGACAACTGTAGCCAGATATACATGTAATTTAAGACCGCAAAGGAGAGGAGAAAAAGGTAGAAAAAAAATATTTAAAGAAACAGTGGCTGAAATTGTCCAAATTGAATAAACACCATAAACTTACAGATCCAAACAACTAAATAAACCCTAGGAGAAGGAAGAAGAGGAGGAGGAGGAGGGGGGGAGGAGGAAGAAGAGCAGGAGGAGATCAAAGGCATATCATAATCAAATTGCTTAAAACCAGCCACAAAAAATAAACTTAAAATTACCAATAAAAAATAAAAACTGAGAAACAAAAGAAAGACAGCTAATTTCTCATTATAAAGGATACAGCTAGAAAACACTGAAAAATTTTCTTCAAAGTATTGAAAGAAAAAATAATCAACTCAGCAAAAGTATATGTCAAAAATGAAGGTGAAATGAAGACCATTCTGCATATATAAAAGCTGACAAATTTCATCACTAGCAGATTTGTACTATAAGAAATGTTATAGTACAAATAACTTAGAAACTTCCTTTAGAAAAAGGAAAATGTCAGATAGAACTCTGGATTTAAATGAAGGAGTGAAGAGAACCAGAAACAATAAATATGTGAGTAAAAACAAGGTATACCTTTACTTACTATTAAACAAATCTTTGTAAGCTATATGTATGTTTAAAGCAAAGACAGTACACTATATTTGACAACTTACAAGCCAAGATAAAATGTACGACAGCAATTATGCAAAAGCTGAAAGAGAAAAAATTGAAAGTGTACTATAGCAAGATTATCATACAATATATGCATAGGCATAGTATTGCTTGATGGTAGATTTTAATAAATTAAACATATACTTCATAAGCCCTAAGTTAAGCACTAAAATAGAAAAATGGGAGGAGCTTATAACTAATAAGTCAATAATAGAGTTAAAATGATATCATAAAATTAATTCAAAAGTGTGAGAAAAAAGGATAAAAAACAAAAATATATAGAAAAAATATCAACAAGATTTTAACACAATATAATCATATTAAATAGAAATCTAAAATCACAATTAAAAGACATTTTCAATATAGTTTAAAAAATAAGGTCTAAATACATGAGGCTTATAAGAAACTAATTTAAAAATTAATAACAAATATGTTGAAAATCAAAGTATTGAAAAGATATACCATGTTAAAATAAAAAAAAGAAAGATGGAATGGCTATACTCATGTTATACAAAGCATTTTAGACTACAAATTATTACAAGGGATAGAGAACATAACTATGATATACATTTACAAACCATCTAATAGAGCTCCAATATACGCAAAGCAAAACCTCACAGACAAAGGGAATTAGACAAATCCCCAACAATAGTTGGAAATTTTACCACCTTTCTCTTCATTATTGATAGAACAAGTAGACACAAAGTTAATATTTGTAAGAGACCTGAACAACATTGCCAATTATAATTTCTAGAATATTCTACCCAATTTAAGCAGAATATATATCATTTAAATGTGCATATAAAATATTTAAAGATAGCTAAGATTCTGGGCCATAAAATTTGCAATACATTTTAAGGGATTTATTTTATGCAGAGCATATTCTGTCACTACAATACAATTAAACAAAAAATTAGTAAGAAAAATATACTCAAAATATTCTGTTCTTTCTGTTTACTTGTTCTTTGAATCAGAGAATTTAAAACTAAATAAGATACTACTTTTTTTTTTTCTTTTTTGAGACAGAATTTTGCTCTGTCACCCAAGCTGGAGTACAGTGGTGTGATCTCAGCTCACTGCAACCTCTGCCTCCTGGGTTCAAGTGATTCTCCTGCCTCAGCCTCCTGAGTAGCTGGGATTACAGGCGTCTGCCACCATGCCCGATTAATTTTTGTATTTTTAGTAGAGACAGGGGTTTCACTATGTTGGCCAGGCTGGTCTTGAACTCCTGAACTCAAATGATTCGCCCACCTCAGCTCCCAAAGTGCTGGGATTACAGGCGCAAGCCACCGCGCCCAGCCAAATACTAAGTAAGATACTTCTAAATAACCCCAAAGTTAAAGAATTTAGAGAGGAAGAAGAAATAATTTTTAAATAAGCAAATAAAAAATACAATATGTTATAATATGTGAGATACATCAAAAGCAGTACTTAGAGGGAAATTTGTCACACTAAATACTTCAACTACTCTATTGTGGAAATAGAAAGTGAAGAGCAAATAAAATTCAAAAGAAGAGAAAGAATAAAATAATAAAGATAACAGGAAAAACCAATAACATAGGAAAGAAAAATATCAGTAGAGAAATTCAATAAAGACAAATTCTGGTTCTTTAAAAATATAAACAAAAGCCCTCAATATTGAAAGGAAAAAAGTAAAATTCTTACTACTTGCAGATGGCATATTTATCTATGCAGGCAAGTTCACGTACTCTACTAGAAATCTTGTAGCAAGTTTATCAAGTTTGTATAGCACAGGATAATTAAACAAAAGTATTGTGTGTAAACAATAAAAATTAGATATTGAACTTAAATTTAAAAAAATTCACAATAGCATAAAATATTCAATACTTTGTGGTATATGTTATACATGATGTACAACACCTACATGGTAAAACTTATTAAGTATTGCTGAGAATGGATTAAAGAATATCTAAATAAAGAGACACACTATATTCATTCATTGGAAGATTTAATACTAAGATGTTAATTTTCTCCAAATTGGTCTACAGATTTAAATTAATTCCAATAAAAATTTTATTTTTAGTAGAAATTGGCAAGCTGATTCTTACTCATATGGAAATGTAAATGTTCTGGAATAGCTAATACAACTTTTAAAAAGAGCAAAGTTGTAAGATCTGAAATCAATTATCACTAAAAGCTGCAGTAATCAAAGTGTGGTTCCCAACAAGATGGAAATATTGACAAATGAAACAATAGAGGGTCTGGAAATATATCCACCTATAGGAAGACCCAAACTTATATGATAACTGAGTTTTGGTAAAGACGCAAAGACAATTTAGTGGAGAAACGGTAATTTTTAAACTGTTTGGGAATAGTCAGTGATACGATTCAGCTGTGTCCCCACCTAACTCTCATCTTGAATTATAGCGCTCATAGTTCCCACCTGTTGTGGGAGGGGCCTGGTGGGAGATAATTGAATCATGGGGGCAGTTTCCCTCATTCTGTTCTCCTGGTAGTGAATAACTCTCATGAGATCTGACGGTACTATAATGGATTTCCCTTTTCTCTTGGCTTTTATTCTCTCTCGCCTGCTGCCATGTAAGATGTGCTTTTTGCCTTCCACCATGATCGTGAGGCCTCCCCAGCCGCATGGAACTGTGAGTCCGTTAAACCTTTTTTTTTTTTTTTAATATAAATAACCCACTCTCTGGAATATCTTTATCAGCAACATGAAAACGGATTAATACAGTCAGCCTTAAATGTCTCTGGCTATGCTTTTCCAGTCACTTTACTAGTTTTGCCATACCTCCCTGATTTCTTATCATGGAGTGCCATGGAGCATGATCCTCAGACCATAGTTTCTATTTACACTCATTCCCTTATTTCATCCAATCTCATGACTTAAAATTTTATTCATCCACCAGAGTGACTCTCAGATGTATACTTCTTGCGTTGCCTGAAACTTGGTCTCCAGACACAAATATTTATTAAACAACTCCAGTTTGATGACTGATAGGTTTTATCAATGTAACAAATCTCAAACCAAATGCCTGCTTATGCTCCTAAAACTGTATTCTCTACAGTTTTTTACAACCCTAATTAATACTGTATTCCAAATGTATCTCTACTAGAATATACCATCCATGAGGGCACATGTTATTGATATATCTCAGCATCTAAAAAAAGTATGGCAACAATATTTGTTGAATGAATAATTTGGCTCAACAGAATATTTTTTCAGTCTTTATCCTATTCTCACTAATTCTCTCATGGGATTCAGAAATATAAGCATAGGGAAGCTCTGATTTGTCTCTGCATTTAATTTGTATTGTAAAATACTTATTACATATATTAGTACAGGGTTGTTTTGTATAATAAATGTATTCTTAATATCAGTTAATGGTTTAATGATTACTGGAGGTGTAATACAATTAAGGTTGGTTGCATTAAAGCTCTCACATTATTTATTGCTATTTACCTGTGCATTAAAAATTTAATAAAATGCCATTTCTAACATTAAAGAAATAATTGTTCACATGGAACATAAATACTATTATTCTAAATAAGAACTTAAAAACGGATGCTCATTCATCTGGTAAAAACTTTTTTGTTTTTTTTTGGTAAAAAGTGATGCTTTTTTGTTAACATTTACTTTTTTATTCATATAAATGTAAGGGGTGCAAGTGACATCCGCTTTTTAATGATAAAATGTCATCTTGAATACTTCAAATCCCTTTTCTCAGGAATTTGAAAATTACATTTCAAATGTAATGTAAGCATCT
The DNA here is from genome assembly GCF_000001405.40 of Homo sapiens. Classification (NCBI taxonomy): domain Eukaryota; kingdom Metazoa; phylum Chordata; class Mammalia; order Primates; family Hominidae; genus Homo; species Homo sapiens. The sequence continues at coordinate 118,986,462 of NC_000007.14, forward strand.
AAGACTGCAGTGTAATGTAGGCATGCAGACTGTGTCAAGCTATTTTGAAAAGAAAAATTCTATTTTAATGTTTTTTAAGATATACTATTTTTTGCAGGTTTAGCCGCAACCTAAATAAGCCTGGGTTTATCTGACTTAGTGAATCACGGATAGCAAAGACAAATAAATCTTCTATATGTGAAAATTTTTATGAAAATTGCCTTCACTACATTAGAATTTGACTTGTATGGAATACAAAGAAATATTTAATTAACTATAGACAAGATAAAAAAACAGAACATACAAATTTTAGTCTTGTCACTTTTACTTCACAATCTTAGGATATTACATCTGCCAAAATGTTAAAATTAGATCTCTGGTGATTTAGATAACAATAACTTCTATCTAGCTGAGGGACAAATGCCCTGAGAAGTTGTCTGAACAATTTCTTAAGTAGAAAGTACAATTATTTTGAGAGTTTGAAACAGTAAAGATGTTCTATTCCAAATTTAACAAATTAACAAAGCACCCGTCAGAAGAGAATAGTTTTTATTCTCAAAGTTAGCTATAGAAATAAACTTACCAAAGAGACTAAATTCAGAGTTTATATTATTTGAAGATTTTCAGGAGAGAAAAAATAAAGAATAACGTTATTTATATTTTCAACCTCATTTCATGAGTAGAATGAGAAACTTTCTGAGATGCTTTTAAAGTAGTTATCAAAAAATCTAAATATTTGCTGTTATAAGCTGTAGAAAATTTCTTAAGATAGGTGTCCAATTTTTGTACTGTGTAGGGGTTTTCCTTTGTTTTTATATTATTTTGTTAATGCCATTTTTATGAGGGTGTAGAGAGAAGAGTTGGCTGGTTAAAAGTTTAGTGATAAATTGTCTACATTTTACTCACTTTCTTATAAGGTTATAATTGACACAAATTGTATTGGCTCTATTTTCTTGATGCAAATTATATAACATCTTCCACCAAAACTTCTTTATATTTCTAGATACTCTCCTGTAGAATATCTACTAGGGAGGAACGTTTGCGTATAATTGACATGAGTTTAGCATGATCATACTTTTCAGAGATTTTCTAACTTATACTTCTTTCTATGATGATATTATCAAGGACACTCTCATGCACCAAATGAATCTTTCACACATTTATTGCTTCCAGTAGCTTGTTTTCTCCAAATTCTGTTTTTCCCATTAAATATAATTAAATAAAATTGATTAAGAGAATTTACATGAACAATCTCAGATGTCAGGTATTAGACACAATAACTAACATCAAATGATTACTTCTATTACAGTTCAAGATAATAAAAGAGTTATTTAAACACCCCATCTATTTATATTTTTCTACAAAATTAGTCCCTACAAAGTGGCATTTTTACAATTAGGTAAGTTTGACATATATATGCAACCAAGAAACCACTGCGGTAATCAGGAGAATGAACCTATCCATATCCCCACAAGTCTCTTAAGCCCCTTCTTGAGCATAGTTTTTATGTATTTGGTATTAATATCTCTTCTTTGGTAAAGTATCATTTCAAAATTTGTATCCATTAAAAAATCAATTTTTTTGTCTTTCTAAAAATTATTATGGGGCACATGTGATGTCCCAACACAGTTCATACGATGTGCAAACATCAAACCAGGGCACCCAGGGTACCCATTACTCCAAACATTCATCACTTCCCTATGTTAAAGAGATCTTTGACTGCAAGTTCTTTATCAAATACATGATTTCCAAATGTTTTCTCTCAGTCTTTAGCTTGTCCATTTGATTTTTTATGATGCCTTTTAAAGAGTAGACGTTTTAAATTTTGATAAAGTTCATTTAATCCATATTGTCTTTGATGAATTATATTTTATATACAAGAAATCTTTGCCTAACTCTAAGTCATAAATATTTTATTCTATGTTTTCTTTCAGATATTTTATAGATTTTACATTTGACCCTAGGATCCATTTTCATTTCATTTTTGCATAAACAAGAAATACACATTGATAATTTCTTTTCCAGGGAAGGTATAATATGGATGCACGATTGTTCCAACACCGTTTGTCGAAAATATTATTCATGGTCCCAGCATAGTGGCTTATGTTTGTAATCTCAGCGCTTTGGCAAGTTGAGGTGGGAGGATCACTTGAGGACAGGAGTTCCAGATCAGCCTGGGCAACACAATGAGACCCTGTCTCTATAGAAATAAAACCTTAGCCCAGCATGGTGGCATGTGCCTGTAGTCCTATCTACTCAGGAGGCTGATGGGAGAATCACTTGAGCCCTGGAGTTAGAGGTTACAATGAGCTAGGATCACACTAATGCACTCTAGCCTGGGTGACAGGAGTGAGACCCTGTCTCTAATACAATAAAATATTTGTTATGCACTAAATCTTACTCAAATTTGTATGTATCGCTATTTTCTTCAATTAATCCGTCTTTATATCAACACGACATTGTGCTGATTACTGTAGCTTCTTAGTACATATCGAAATCAGTGCTTTACAATAATGTTCTCTTTCACAGTCATTTTGCCAACTCTAGGTCCTTTGCATCTCATAAAAAATTTAGAATCAATTTCTACAAAAAGTGTCTATTAGGATTTATACTAGGATAACATTCAACCTATAAAGCAAATTGGAGGTGAATTTAAATTTACATATTATTGAGTTTTCTGACTTATAGGCATAGTATGTATCTTCATTTATTTAGTCTTCCATTTCTCTCTGTAATAATGTAGTTTACAACGTATGGATCTTGCTCATTTCCAATTACTTGAATTACTTGTTTATGGTTTTATGTTCAATACAAACTATTTTGAAAATGCAGATTAGAATATTTGCATGTTGTTTTTTCTCTGCATTTTTTTTTACCTTCAAGATCATCTGTTTTGTCTGTTCATACAACTGCATTGCTATCTTTTTTTAATTGATTTTATCTGATATGGAATCACTGATGTTGAAGCAGCTAAGAATATCCTTCACATATGTCCCAAATACCCCCAAATATGTAACTCTGGCATGTTGACTATTTTGAGTTAAAGGCAATTGAAAAATAACAGGTATAAGATCACTTTGACCTTCTTACTATTTCTTTAAAGCATGAGTTATAAGTTCCGTATGAGAGTTGTTCTCCCTATACTAGAATGAAAATAACAATGGAAGTTTAGCCCAGAAGAATTTTGTACGTAACCTATTAAAATAACTTATCTTCTAGCCGCTCCACTTAAACTAGTTATTTTTTCACAACTTACTACTCTTTGTCCAATACAATATATAAGCATTAAACTCTATCTTTGAGTCTGCATTTTCTTATGCATACTTTCATGTCACATAAAACTAATATTCAATAAATGTGTATGTTTTTCTTTTGTTTATGTGTTTCCTGTCAATTTAATTGTGAGGCCTAGTTAAAAACACCCAGAAGGTAGAGGTAAAATTTTGCCTCTTCTACAATATTTATAGAGTATCCATGGCAAGAATCACATGAAGAGATTTCTAGAATGGTACAAAGATAATCAGACGGTATATTTAGACAGACAGGCTTCCCTTCTTAATATGTGCAAAGCATTTAGACAAGTTGGTTTCTTTCCTAACTGAGGTAAAGACAGCTTTCTGATACAAAATACTGCTCTTTAAAACGCTTTACTCATCTGTGTTTATAAAGATGTAACACTAATCTCATTAAGAATCTCCACCTGTCAGCCTCATGGGTCTCAAAATTGGCTTATATTGATAACACCTGGAAAGCTTAAAAATTACTGATGCCTGTGTCTCACCCCCAGTGTTTCTTACTCATTTGCAACTTTGGCTGAGAAGCATTGATCCAGGGAAATATCCTGGGTTTTCCTCACTTGTCAATTCAGCCTGCAATTTCTACCCTAAACAAATGCCTTGACTCTTCATTATTTGAGATTAATGAAACAGCCCAGCTGCTCCAGAATTTTTAATTAATCCTCACAATCATCTTGTGGCTCACCAATAACTCCCACCACCTCTTGATGTAGAGCCAAGTGCAGGAATTTTAAAATCTGAATGTGCATTGAATTGACCTGGGGAAATTTTAAGTACCACTGTGAAGAAATGATCTGGAAATTTATTTTGAAGTTTTCAAACTACAAATTTAATTTAAGAGATATGGTATTGTTCAGTTGATCCATAAGTAATTTTAGTGGATTGTTTCTTTTGAGGAATTTGTCCATCTCATCAAAATTGTGAAAATTTGAGGCATACATTTTTTGTGATTGTATTTGTTATTTGCTATTTGTTTTGCTATAAATGTCTGTATTATAATTTAAATGATTGTAGAGTTTTCAGTGAATGTAGAATCTTTATTTCTTGACATTGGTGACTTTTCTTTTGTCTTTTTTTTATTGTGATGTTTTATCACTTTTCTTTTTTTTCAAAGGATCAGCTTTTGATTATATTGATTTTCTCTATTTAGATTTCTTTCAAATGCATAGATTTCTTCATTTTTTTTTCCTGCTATTTGCTTTGGATTAGATTTGTTATTGTTTTGAATGTTTTCTTAGCTAAAACTTAGATAACTGATTTGAGGCCTTTCTTATTTACTAATATATGCACAACATAAATATTTAATGCTGTTTCTTTTCTTTTAAGCACTATGTTAACTGCATCCCTCATTTGAATGTTATGTTTAATTTTCATTCAATTTAAATGTTTTCTAATTTTCATTTTGATGCTTTTGTGAATCATAAGTTACCTGGAAGTGTTTAATTTCAAAATGTTTGTTAATATTCTAGCTATATTTCTGGTTTTGATTTCTAATTTAATTCTGGTATGGTCAGATAGTATGTCTTGTATTATTTTGGGGAATTTTTTTTGACGGCCCAGAATATTGTCTGTTTCTGTTTATGTTGCATGTGCTATTGAGAAAATATCTATTTTGCTTGTTATTGTACACAGGGTTATTAATTGTCTATTAAGTCTATTTTTGGTAGTATTATTCAGGCCTTTAAATCCTTGCTGATTTTTATATCTACATTTTCTATTACTGTGGTAGAAGTGTTGCAGCTCCAATGATAATTGCATTTTTTAATGTCTCCTTTGAGTTCTATCAAGTTTGTTTGTGTGTGTGTGTGTGTGTGTGTTTATGAATTTAAAGCTCTATTTAGATTCATACACTTTACAATTGTTACATGTTCATGGTATATTGTCTCCTTATCATGATGCAATGTTTCTCTTTATTTCTGGTGAAATCTATTTTGCCTTATACTCATATAGTCACTTCATTTTTAAATTTTTACCAGTTTTCTTTAAAGTTAAAGTAATTTCTTCTATCGAGTATATAGTTGAGTCTTGGTACTTTATACAAATTTGACATTCTGTGTTTAGATCAATTATACTCAATGCAGTCATTGTTGGATTAAAATCTATTTGTTCTATTAGTTCTCTATTACATTTTCCCTTTATTCTGCCTGATTTTGATTTTTTGAAATATTCACATTTACTCTTTTTATGGTCGCTATTTATATTTCTTTTTTATATTTTAATGGTTATGTTTAACATATTAAGTTATATTGACTAATTTTTGTCTCTCTTCAAACAAAATTATACTTTATATGTAGTATAAGAATTCTACATCAGTAGGCACATACTTCCTTTTTTTCCCATTTTTTTTGTAACTTTTTGTAAAATATTTAAATTTGGAATGATATATACTCACATTTTTCCTCCTAATTTTTCTATAGTCAGAAAATAATTGCTTGGTGAAAAAAATAATAAAAAACAAGCCTAACATGTTTACATTGATTTTAAGTGTTCATGAAGATCTTCATTTCTTCATGTAGATGCTGTTAATAATAATCCTATGCCTGAATTTTATTCCCTGAATAGCAAGACTGCTAGTAACAATCTATAGTAGGAGGTTTTGTTTGTCTGAAACTAATATTATGACTCTTTCATTTTTGAATGATATTTTCACAGAATATAGAATTCTAAGTGGGTAGATTTTTTAAAAAATACTCTAATGATGTCACTTCATTGTCATCTGACTTTCATATTTTTAATATGACATCTGATAAAATTTTAATCATAGTTCTTCTGTATATTGTGCGCCTTTATCTCTGGTTGCCTTTAATATTTTATCTTTATCTTTGATATTTAGAAATTAGATATCACGCATCTAGGGCTTTTAAATTTGGTGTGGGAGGGTGGTGTTATCTATCCTGATTAGGGTCACTGATATTCTTAGTTCTACAGATTAATATATTGTATTATTTTTGAAAAATTCCAAGCCATTATCTCATTTAATAGTACTTATGACCTATTTTCTCTCTCTTCTCTCATGGAGTACAATTATACATACGCTAAACTATTTGATATTGCCTCCAACAATTCTTCATTGCTATTGTTTTTGGATTTTAAAATGTATTTTTAGCTATTATTTTTCAGTTTGTGTTTTAGTTTGGAAAATTTCTGCTGACCTGTCCTTAAGGTTACTGATTCTCCTGTTGTCTGTTTAAGTAACACAGTGAATCCTTTAAAGACATTGTTCATATCTATTAATATGGATTTTTTTCTAGCATTTTATTTTTTTCTTATAATTTCAATTTCCCATCCGTATTTTTATCTGTTCATATACATTTTACCTATTTTTTCAATTTATTAAATATGGTAATTATATTTTTTCTAAATTCTTTAGTAGTTCCAACAATTGTGTCATAGCTAAGTCTGAATCTGTTAAGTACTTTGTCCCTTGTTGAAGGCTCATTTTTTACTTGCTTTCCTGCATGTCTTACAATGTTCTGTTAAAACTTGGACATTGCATATTGGAATGTAGAGACTGAGGTAGTCTTTTAGTTGCTTGAGTATGGGCATGACTTCTTGTCTTCTAAGACTTTACCAGGGAATTGAATTTATGTAGCCAGAAGTTGACCTAAATTTGGGTGTTGCTATTACTTAGGTTATCTTTATAATTTACTGTATATAACTGTCTTTATAATTTACTAAGTGTTAACTAGTGCATAAAGTGAGGGCTGGATTGTTGAAGGGTTTTTCATGCTTTTCTGCCCTCTTCTTTAGGACTTTTCTCACTATTTTCTCAAAGAGTCTGTCTCTATGCTTTTGTGCTCCCCCCAGTAGAAGATCGTTAACACTTGGGAGCCTATGCTAGAATGAGAATGTTCTTTGCTGTGATCCAGAGGCGGACACAGGCAGTCTCTGGGTTTCTAGTTCTTTGGAGTAGGGCTTTCGCAGTTTCCCCTAATGGGAAGTGATCTGTGGTCTGGACAAGGGTGTTTCCATGATGCTGTTTCATTGGAATTTGGCATGCCACTTTCTCTTCTCCTGGCCACAGTGGGTCTTACCATCTGTCTTGGGATACAACAGATATGTTTTCCTTTCCATAGCAGCTTAATGGTTTTATTCTGTGGAAGTATTAACCTAGGAAGGACTTTCTGCAGGGCTTTATTCTTTCTTGAGTAGTGACCACTCCCTTCGCCACAATCCAGCATCACTGATGGAGGCTTTGTCCACTACCCACCTGCCCATATTCTTTTTCCTAAGTACTCAATGGTATTCCTTGGAGAAGAGCCTATGATTGGGTTAATAATTACACTTTTGTATTCAGATACAAGTGTTTCCATGCTACCACACTAATTCACACTTGACTTTTAGCAATTTGTTAAAAAAAAAAAAAAAAGATGAATTCTTAACTTCTGGTGTGGTGGCCTAGTCTTCCTCCCATTCTTTGCTCTATATGAGTCTATGTTCATGTGCTATCTCTTCCTGGAGGAGCTTGTGTTTCCTTAGATTTTAAGCTAATTGGTTGACCTGCAATCTCAGCTCTCAGAAAGACTCCAAAACATTGTGGTTTTATATATTACTGAGTTTTTTCTTCTTTATATTGGAAGCAATATTTTCTGCTTTCTATAACTTAAGTGGAAGCCAGGAGTCTGTACCTGACTTTTGATATTATGTTTTCTCTATCTTTCATATTCAACTGTGCAACTATGGTATCAATTTAGTATCATCCCTACGTCCGCACCAAACACTCAGGAATTTTGTCTAAATTTAGTGTCTGAGGATCCCACTTATTCTAAATGAGAAGTAAGAAAGTGGCTGATCCGACAATTTTAATTCAGCAAAATTCAAAAATGATTCCCAACTTCATGTCATATTCTTTTCTTTGAGATCTGACTTTACCATTTTCATCATCACAGTCTAAATCTACTTAAGAGTAAAAGTAAATTATAGACATTTAATAATATTTTAAAACCCATCAGTCTTTTTTCCATAACCATACCTGATTTGAAGTATTATTTTTTAGGTTCTGAAAACTAAGAGAAAACTTCAGTTAGCAACCCTCAAAAGCTTATCTGTTCTCCTGCTCGAAAGAAAAAAAACAAAAATAAATTATTTCTCATAGTACATAATTTGCCTAGATTTTTTTTCCTTGCATGAGCTGAGTCAACCTATGCATGGTTTATGTAATTGAAAATGAGCCTAGAGACTGGTAACATTCAGGTCTTTTGAACAATGTCTGGAGGATAGAAGAATGGATGCAAAAGTCATTTAAAATTCACCACCATGTTTAATTAAACTTATTTAACCTTGCAGGCTCAACAAATGAGCCAAGCTAGATCAAGTGAATTTTTGTTAATGTTTTTAACATTATCCTAGATATTAATTGAAGGGATACACACAGATTGAAAATTGATGAGGCATATGTTGTGGCTGTACTTGTGGCACCAGAGAACTGTGACCTCTCTAATGATGGTGAAATGCACAAAGGTTATAGGGGAGTTTTTCTAACTTCCTGGAGTAATTTATTAGAGATTTGCTTAGACTTTTCCTTGGCTTATTAGTCAGTTATATTTTTGAAAGCTAAATTATCTGACATAAGCAGAAGTTAAGTTCTCATTAGAACAACCATTCACTATCAGCCTATGCTGCTTTGCATTTGATTATCATGCTTATTTTCTCCGATTAAAAATGATTCATATGTTGGAGTTGAACACAAATGAAATCCTAGAGCAAGGGCATTATGTTAGGCACATGTTAAAACTTCTGTTCTGTAGATGAAGATTACACTTCCTCAGCAGCATCAACAAACAGGCTGATTTATTTCTACTTGCATAAACATAAATGTTTAAACATGCTAACTTAATCACATAATGTTAAGTGTTTCTGCAATGATGCTTACAAAAGTACTGCAAAGTCTCATTACCAAGGAATGTTAAGACACATTCAATATTCTCTTCTAGTTGGAATTACTTTATAATGACACAGTACTTATTTCAGGCATTTCATCAAGGATGGAAAAGTATTTTACTGATTGTGAAACTTTCTGTGTCCTTGCAAAAATTAGAATTTAGAGTAAAATCTCATTAATCCAGACATCAGTATTTCAGAATGTGCTTTAGACACATTCTGTTTAGACAAGTATTAAATTGATGATAAAACTTATATTCTCTATAAAGAAACTGTGTGATACACAAATGTGTAATATAATGAATGAGCTACTTGGGAAGATACACTTTAAATACCCTAAACTTCTTCAGAAAATCAGTTTTAGTTCAAAGTCATTTGTTTTTAGGTTATTTTTATCCACTTATTATGGCCCGCTCTTGGGAGATGTATCATGTTCTTTTAATCTGATTTTGCAGATAATTGATAATGTAGTATAATCAAATTGTGTTTTTCTTTATAATAAACCATATTTTAACCTTCCTGTAATATATTTTTTCTTCCAAACTTGTGACAATTAGAGTCACAATTACATATTAAAAATATTAACTGTTAAATTATATATATGGTATACTTTGTGGGAATATGTAATTTCTCCCCTCTATGTTACAAACCAAGTTATCAGAATCCTTCTTCTTCTGTTGCCCAGGCTGGAGTGCAGTGGCTCGATCTCTGCTCACTGCAACCTCTGCCTCCCAGGTTCAAGCGATTCTCCTGCCTCAGCCTCCTGAGTAGCTGGGATTACAGGTGTGTACCATCACACACGGCTAATTTTTTTTTTTTTTTTTTTTTGTATTTTTAGTGGAGACAGGGTTTCAGCGTGTTGGTCAGGCTGGTCTCGAACTCCTGACCTCGTGATCTGTCCACCTTGGCCTCCCAAAATGCTGGGATTATAGGTGTGCAGAATTCTTTAGTTTATGTATATAGTCCTTTATTTTTGTGGAGTCACTTGCAGTTGCTTTGGATTTTACATGCACTCTTATGAGTGAGTTTTCCATTATCTTCATTGTAATAGATTCAAGTTGTGAAAAAGCAGATGCTGTGGTAGAACACATTTACCATGCCCTATATTTCTAGGTTAGTATTCAGCTACATTGACATATCTAGCCTCTTTTCCCATTCAATTAATCATGTAATTAGTGAGTATGGCAAAGATTCTCCATACGATATTCCCTTTCTCATTTTTAGTATCAAATATAAAATTTATTCTGAGCTTCCATATCTCTAACTGAAGACTCTCTTGACTAGTTTTAATTGCAGCCAGTCGTGGCCATGTGACTAAGTTTTCACTGATGAGAAGGAAAAAAATTGTATGGCATTTAAGAAAGTCCCATTAAGAGGAAGGATGAGTTCTCTTTCTTTCTTCTTTCCTGCTGGCTGAATGCATATGAGATGGTGCTCCTGCAGTCACCTTGGACCAGGAAGTGACTTTTTCAGGATGACAGAACAGCAAGTTAAACAGAGCCTAGCACTCATAGAATGCATACCTCCAAACTGCCATGACATGTGCTCTATCTTGTTTACCCATTGTTATTTTGGCTTTTTTCAGTGTCAAGTAGTCAAACATAAACTAATTGATACCCTGACTTGGAGAGAAGTTACAGAGCATGTTTGGCTCAGCCTTTCTTCTCTCTGTTCCAGATCCCTAGAATTCTCTGCCCAAAGACTGGCTGCATTTGGAACTGATTTCTCAAGGGTAGCTTGCAGATGTCAGCTGGGTTGGAAAGCAGGAGTAAATCTACCTAATTATGCATTAAAAAACTAGAAAGCACATTTGGCTGCAGACTCTAAAGCAGCTTCTGCAAATAGCTTCATCATTAATAAAGGTCATATTTTTATCTCCATCTGCCTGACTTGTATATCAGCTATGTTGATGTTACTGACATGATGGTCATTGAGAATCAATGAAAATAATCATATAACTATATACAATGGTGTACAATTGAGTATCAAGGAAAAGTAGCTTCAATCCATAGTGTTTGCTGACTTTGGTGGTTGACATATTCCTCCCTTGGCCAATTTCAAGTTATAAATGTAATATCACTGATCAAAGTAAGACAAAGAAGTACAGAAGTACACCATTATATAGTATTTCTGCCATACAGACGCAATATATATAAATCTCAAGCATATATGTAATTTATGACTGTTAAAATAATCAGGAAATGATCTTTTAATATCGATTATTTTTAAAGTTAGTAAAATTTATGTTTATATAATTTAACTTTTAATAACAGTTGTATTTAACAATACTTTTTAAATTCTGAACCTAGCAATTACCATTTATATGTCAGTATACACTGGCTCTTACACTCACACACACCACTGAATGAATATATATTCAGGAATGAAAATGATCATTATTCGTGAAAATTCTATACCTAAATCTTGCATTTGAATGCCATATTCATAATGAATTATTATAGTAATATAATACTTTATTTCTACATTGCAATTAACTTAATACTAGTCAAAAGCTAATAAATCAATGCCATATACATGCAAGTTGTGTGGAATTTTATATTGCTTTCCCACATGAGAAAAGTGGAATGACACTCTCTACTTATCTCTTGGGATGTTATAGTCCTAGTCTTCAGTGATTACCTTTGATAACTTTGTAGGATAATTTCACATATTAACTCCATAAATATAGAATATCAGGTATGAAAAATAAGATTTCATGCATTAGTCTGTGATGATTAAAATACCTGTTTTATTAAGTTACATTGATTTACATTTTAGTATTTAATAAGTAAGTACTACTGTTTCAGTTATTCTTCTATATTTACCTTTATACAAAATGTGAAAGTTCCCAGAAGTGGACCACCAATGAAATGGAGTTTTTGCTCCTTTGAGAAAGCTTTTCTTTTTTTTTTTTTTTTTTTTGAGACGGAGTCTTGCTCTGTCGCCCAAGCTGGAGTGCAGTGGCAGCGATCTCGGCTCACTGCCAGCTCCGCCTCCCGGGTTCACGCCATTCTCCTGCCTCAGCCTCCTGAGTAGCTGGGACTACAGGCGCCCGCCAACACGCTCGGCTAATTTTCTGTATTTTTAGTAGAGACGGGGTTTCACCATGTTAGCCAGGATGGTCTCGATCGCCTGACCTCGTGATCCGCCCGCCTCAGCCTCCCAAAGTGCTGGGATTACAGGCGTGAGCCACCACGCCTGGCCGAGAAAGCTTTTCTATACTCAATCATTTAATATTATTTAGTTACAGTGAGGCTTTCTTTATGTGTAAAATACATGAACATTGTTATGTTGCAGTTGCCGTGTAAGAATTAATGAGATGGCATATGTAAAGCAGCTAGAGTAATTATCAGTGCATACCAGGATCTTCCTGTTTGATCATTTTCACTCTTACCTGACTCTTTCAGTGCCAAATTTGCAGTTAGGGTTGGGCATTAGAGGTTAGATTTCAGGAAAAGAGCTTACTTAAGATTGAAATTAAGACATTGTACATATGTTGACATACTTTGAGTCATATCCAAGGAGAATCACATGTCAGAAGAATGACGGATCTCAATAACAGAAAAAAGTAAATGGCAAACAGTAAAGAAAGTCAAAGTTTTTAGATTCAAAGTTAAGGAAAGTGTGAAATGATCAAAAGGCCAGCTGTATCTGGTATCTAAAAGATAAACAACAACATCATAGTTCTGAAATGCTAAGACTGTTAGCTCTGCCGCTTCGAGTCATTAAAGAAAAAGGAACAATTTTGGTAAGACTTTTTGCAGGCACTGACACTTAAAATTATCAGAACATTTTTGGACATCTGACATGAACGTAAACAAGAAAAATCAAACTTAGTACAAATAAAGCTATAGAAAAGAAATTATCAGAATTTGGAAGTTGATGTTTCACACCAGACTCGTTATTCCATGACTAACCATATGATTTCTCAGCTGGTATTTAAACCCTGTCATAATCTGTATCTGACTTCAATTGTTATAGCTGTTCCTCTCAAGATCTTAGATCAAACATGTATATTACATGAATAAGCTATTATTAATATGTGTTTATAATATCTGGTTATGTTGTTGGAGAGAGCAGCGTCAGTATGGTGAGGAATATGCATCTTGTATTTATTCCTTTTGTTCAAATGAGCTATAAATAATTTTACAAAATGGAAAATATTAACAAGAGACTAAGTAGATGCTTATGGTATGTATTTATTATCCTGACAGTTGGCTACCTTTGGCAATGTGTCATTCAGAGCTGCCAGCCTGCCACTCACTAGGGACCCTGTTTTCACTGATGCAGTTTGAGCCCAGACTAAAAGCTGTGAAATGAAAAACAAAAACAAAAACTATTGAGTTTTGTTTTGAAGAATGCAAGTCTTTACTAATTGAAGGGCTTTAACTGGTCTCTCTATATGTAGAACATGGTAGTTGTGGCTGACTTATAGAAGAAATTACTCATAGAAAGCATCACACATGTGCATGGGTGCACGTGCGTGGGTGCACACACACACACACACACACACACACACAGCTCCAGCCTTCAAGGTTAGGTTGGTAAACTGATCTCTCCAGAGGCCTTTATTCAATAAGAAATTAATGAACTTCCATAGTACTGCTAGTCTTTCTCTCCCTACATAATTACTGATATAGAATTCGCTTTTGCTTATTAGAACTTAGTGTTTAGTTTAGATATCAGATGTTATTCTCATTATATTTGCGTGTCTGAATACAATATCTTTCCTATAGAAAATGTACTTAAGTTTCATATGAAAGCAGACAAGAGAAGCATAATTATCCTATACCTAAGGAAAAAATAGATAATATTGTAAAAAATATAATTTTAGTTACATTAATATAGGTAAATGTGCTAAATAAAATTAAGTACTGAGTTTAAATATCAACTTGGGCCAGTCATCTAAACTTATTTCTCTGAATCTTCCTTGGAAAAAAATAAAACAAAGCAAAACATAAAACTGCCAAGTTTATCTGGATTGTTTTTTCATTTCACCCCTACCCATAACTAAAGAGCTAAATTATCATTAAATAAAAGTACCATTATGATTAGTAAAAATATTGCTACTCTGTGGCTTATTCTTTAGCCAGGGAGCTGTTGGCAGGACCTTGGCACAAGAAACAGAAAATCTGACAAGTTAGCCAGAGCCTCAAGCAGGATTCTGGGTCTTCTTACATCATGTCCCAGAGCACTTACCGGACTTCTCTCAAAAATGCTGATACCTGCTGAAATTCTAGTGCATCAAAAAGATGGGCCTGTCCTCATATGTAGATACTTAGATATTCAGGCTGTCTATTGTTGTGTAACAACTGACCACAAAACTTAGGGCTTAAAACAGATACCACACTCTTATACTTTATAGCTTTGTGGGTCAGGAATTTGGGACCTGGCTCAGCCTCATGATGCTTTTCTTCCATATGATATGGACTGAGAACACTGAATAAAATACAACTGGCAAGGTTGTGAAATACAACCCTGTGAGCTATATTTATTCAGGGTTTATCTGAAGTATTCAGTGTGGGTTCACAGGCAGATATCTATCTGGCTTCTTCTCTTGGAGGCTCAGAGTTCAAATAATAACCTAGTCTAGTTGTTCTCAGGTTTTATTGCCTGGATTGAGAGCATCGGCATCACCTGGAAACTTATGAGGCATGTATATTCTTAGGATATACCCCAGATAAGAAATTCTAGTGATTGTGTTATAACAAGCCCTCCTCCAGGTGTTTCTGAGGCATAATATAATTATCCTGCTTGGTACTTACCTATATCTCTACCCCTTCAGATAAATCTTCTGCATTGGCTCTGGAGGGAGTAGCATTATAAGGAATTAAAAGGATTTAAATATAATGAAATTTAGAAAGATTATCCCAAGATATTACAAGATTTGATTTATCAAAAATTAAATAAAAATTTGTATCCTGTTATTACTTTTAATTACAAATGTTCTAATATATTTCAAATAATGATGAAAGAGTAAAAATAAATTTAACTGAAACATTTTCCTCAGTTTTATTATATTTTTTCTGATGATTCCTGTCAATTTAGTTTGTTTCCAGAACATCTTTTTGTACTTGGAAGGCAAATTTACTTTATTGTTTACTATTTTAATTTTGTTTCTAAATATCCAATGTCTATGCTAACTGAAGTTGATATTCCTGAAATTTTAAATAAGAGAAAAAGTTGATATAGCAGTCCTCATGCCAGTATCATACTGTCTTGATAAATGAAGCTTCAGAGTAATATTTGAAGTTGGGAAATATTTCGAATGCTTTAACTTTGTTCCTTTTCTTCAGGATTCTTTGATTATTATGGTCACTCAGACTTCTGTATGAATTTTAATATCAGTCAATGACTACAAATAAAACAGTTGGAAATTTGGTAATTATTATGTTCAATTATGAATAGGTTATTTACAACAAATTCATTTCTCATATTTGTAGAAGATGGGAAGTCCAAGATCAAGACAGATTTCATGTCTGGTGCTGGTTCATCTTTTGGCTCATAGATGGTGTTTTCTTGCTGCCTTCTCACTTAGTGGAAAGGGCTAGTTAGTCTCTGGGGCCTCTTTTATAAAAGTACTAATCCCAATCATAAGGGCTCTGCCCTTAAGGCCTAACCACTTCCCAAAGGCCCCATGTCCTAATACCTGGCAGGTTACGATTTCAACCTACCACATTTGGGGGTAACAAAAGCAATTAGATCATAGCACAGAATAAAAGCCTTACATTTATTTTGTTAATTTTTTTCCAAATATATGTTTTGATGCTGTTATAAACAAAATTATTTTCTTAATTTCATTTTCAGATTCATTGCAAATATATAAATGAGAATGATTTTTTATATAATCTTTTATCCTGCAAAGTTGATGAAATTTTTTATTTCTTATAGGTTTTTAGTAGATCCTTTAGGATTTTCTGTCCATCTTGCTACCTACTAATAGAGATATTTTTTACTGCTTCTTTTTTTTAATCTGTATGTCCTTGTCCTTTATTTTATTTTCTTGCCTAATTGCACCGCCTTGTCTCTGCAGTGCAATGCTGAATATAAGTGGTGAGAACAGACATCCTTGTCTTGTCTTGACCTTGGGCAGAAACTTAGTCTTTCTTCGTTGAGGGTGATGTTTGCTACAGGTTTTTCTAGATGGTTTTCATCAAGTTGGGGAATTTCCCTTCTATTCTGACTTAATGAGTCTTTTTATTAAGAAGAAGTATTGGGTTTTGTTGAATGCTTTTTCTGTATCTGTTGAGATGATCATGTAGTTTGCCTTTATTTTATTGATATGGTACCATATAGTAATTGGTTTTCTAATATTAAGGCATCCTTCCATTCCTGGGAAAAATACTTGGTCATATTGAATATCTTTTTTTTAACATGTTGGATATTTAAATTTTGTTTAGGATGTTTGTAGCTATTGTCATTAGACAGAATGTGTAGTTTTCTTTTTGTAATATTTTTGCCTGGTTTTGGTATTAAGGTAATACTGTCCTCATAGCATGAATTAAGAAATATTCACTGCTTTTTTAATTTTTGGGAAAATTTGTGAATAATTGGTATTAATTATTCCTTAGTTGCTGGTAGAACTCACCAGTGAAGTCTTCTGGGCATTGGGCTTTTCTTTGTGGGTAGATTTTTGATTACCAATTCAATATCTTTGCTTGTTATAGGTGTATACAGATTTCCTATTTCTTCTTGAGTCAGTTTTGGTAGTTTGTACACATTTGCCTATTTCATCTAAGTTATTTAATTTATTGGCAAATATTATATTCCAATAATTTTTATTTCTGTAAGACTAGAAGTTATGTCCTCATCTTATTGCTATTTTTAGTAACTTTAATCTTCTCTCTTTTTCTATTGGTTAGTCTAGGTTGGTTTGTTAACTTTGCTGAATCTTTCCAAGAATCGACTTTTGATTTTGATTTCCTCTATAGTTTTTCCTATTCTTGATTTTATTTATTTCCACTCTAACCATTATTTTATTTTTCTTTCAGTTTTATGTTTATTTTCCTCTTTTTCACATTGTCTTTAAGTAGAAAGTTGGGTTACTGATTTGAGTGTTTTTTTCTCTTTTTTTAAACAAATGTTTGTAACTATACATTTCCCCATGAGCACTGTTTTTACTGCATTCCATAATTTTAATTTGATGTGTTTTTGTTTTTATTTATCTCTAATTTCCTTGTTGTCTTTTTCTTGAATCCATTGACTACATAATTTCCACATTTTGTGAATTTGTAAAGTTTATTTCTGTTATCAGTGTCTAATTTTATCACTGTGGTGGAAAAGTATACTTTATATTATTTAAACAGTTTTAAATTGATGAAGTCTTGTTTTATGGTAGGATATGTGTGTAAAAAATATAGGAAACAATTTGAAAATATGCAAAGAACCAAGTAGAATCATATAAAATATCTTATTTCCAAGTTTTCATTATATTTCTTAAGCTTACATATTAAAACACAGATATTTTGATTATTTTTAAACTTGAAACTATTAACTATATTATTCTATTCTATATATGTTAATACAGGTACTATTTATTGAATGTTTTCATGTGAGATACTAAATTCTAATTTCCTAATTCACTGATTAATTCTTCCAGAAGTATTTACTGCATGCTTATGCTATACCATATGCAATTTAAAGACTGGGGATTCAGCAATAAAAATACAAAGTCCCTGCTTTTATAATGTTAACTTTTATTAGTGGAGACAATTCAGAAGTAAATAAATGCATGACCAGGAAAATTTCAAATAGTAAAATGTATGAAGGTAATGAAAATAAAAACATTTCAAAAAGTAGAAGATTAAAAAAAATAAAGAATTGGTCTAGATAATAAAGTATCTAGAATGTATTTTAGTAGCATTGGCAAGAGAAGCTCTCGCTAAAGACCTGGGGTAGAAACTTCCTGGCAGAGAGAACAACAAGAGTAAAATTGTTTTAAGAGAATTGAAAGGAGACCACTGTGGCTACAGTAGACTGATCAGAGGAAAGAGTGACAGACAGTACATGGAATGGAGACTTGGGCAAGGTTTGTACCTGAAAGTCTCAAGTCTTATTTAATAATTCTATTGAAGATTCCCAATATTTTAATTTAACCAATGAGTATCGGTATGGGCTTAATATTTATATTTTCCCAAAAATCATATGTTGAACCCCTCACTCACAATGTTGTAGTATTTGGGCACAGAGTTGTTGGGAGATAATTAGGTTTAGATGAGACCATAAATGTGGGGTCCCAATGATAGGATAGTGACCTTATGAGAAGAGGAGAAACCAGGGTTTTCTCTTTCATCACTGTATGAGGACATGGCAAGAAGGTAGATATCTGCAAGCCAAGTAATGGGCCCTCACCGGGAACTGAATCTGCTGGAACCTTCGTCTTGGACTTCTCATCCTCCACAACTATGAGAAATAAATGTCTGTTGCTTAAGCCACCCAGTTTATGGTACTTTTGTTATAGCATTCTGAGCTAACTAACTGTAAATAAATGTAGAGGTTTGCCATGGTCATGCAGCAAATGAGTAAGAAATTCATGGCTCTTTTTCTCTAAACCTTTCCTCTTAGCCAATGGCCAAGCACTCTTAGAATGTTAAGCACTGTCTGCTTAAGCACTCTTAGAATGTTAAAAAAAATATTTCTAAGTCTTACATTTTTCAGACTAAAAATAATGTCAACAAAAAGCTTAACATCAAATACATTCCTGGAATAATATCTATTATTATAATGGATATTTTAACTTATGCATAGGATTAATTCTATGCATAGATATATCATTGAATATGAGACTAAAGGAAAAGGTTTCATGACCAAATGGTTTCACCCAGAGTTTTAACTTAAATGTCATCATTAACGATTTATCATCAGTTAAGCAATGTGTGAAAAAAAGTTCACAGTCAACAGTATTTAATAAAAGGAACGCACTGAATATTTTATTACTAAAACATAAGCAAGTCTATTTCTGCTTTGTATACAATTAAAATATATTTGGGAGTCGTAAGAAAACCATATGAAAATATAATGGTACAAAAATATATGAGGGGCTGGGTATATATGAGGCATGGTAGCTCACACCTGTAATCCCAACACTTTGAGAGGCTGAGGTGGGAAGACTGCTTGATCTCAGGAGTACAAGCCCAACCAGGGAAACATATTGAGACCTCATATGTAATAAAACATTTAAAAAATAGCCAGGTATGGTGATGTGATATGAGCCTGTGGTCCCAGGTACCTGGGAGGCTGAGGCAGGAGGATCGTTTGAGTCTAGGAGGTTGAGGCTGCAGTGAGCCATGTTTGTACCACTGCACTCCAGCCTGGGTGACAGAGCAAGACTTTGTCTCAAAAATAATTTAAAAATATGTATATGTATACATAAAGTGTGTCAATGAGTTGCAAAAGTGTAAATATTAAAGTAATTCAAGAGGGGAAACACCATAGAGGTTGGTGTGTCATGGAACTCTTTGAAAATGATTTAGGACAGAGTTGAGTTTAGAGATGAGATGTGAGGAGGAAGAAATGAGAGAGGACGTTGGCAAGATAAGAGGAAAACTTTTGGTGAAGTGCTTTGCATAGAAAATAGCATGGAGGATGCTTTAGATATATGTAACCATGGAAAGACCTGATTAAATTAACAGTTGAATAAAATTATACCAGTGTTGGAGTTGAGAATGGATAACTCTTAACAGTTTAGTATCAATGAAAGATTTAAACTTTTAAAATCCATCCCATGAGGTGCCAGTGTACTAAATCACTGGATATATATACTTTTAACTTAACAAAACAGAATATAATCACATTTCTCAACTCTCAGTATTTTATATGATAGAATTTTATATTGAAATTAGAAACTAATTACTTTTATTTATGTAGAGTGCTTACATCACTTTATATAAATGAGTTAGAAATCTAACTGTTTTGTAACACATACTCGTGTGTATGAATATGTATTTTCATATGTGTGCACATATGTGAGCAAGTTTATGTGTACATACATACATCTATTTGTGTTGAAGGTAGCAGGATGAGTTTTTTCAGAACCGTTATAAAAGAATATTTGAGGCCACTGCTTATGAAAACCACTGAACTTTGTAATTTTGCAAAGGACCTAAAAATTTCCTTAACATCTTTCTGAAGTCTTCTAACAGATGATTGTTCTAAGTCATCATTGACTTGTGCAGAGAGAAAATTTAGTATAATTACAGATTTCTACATATGTTAACTAAAAGACCATATAATTCCCCTCAAAAGAAATTGCTGTGGTGATCTCTATTAATTTGAATTAGTTCTTATTGCATATACTGTTACAAAGTAGGTTCTTGAGACTTTCCAGCATCTCCCAGCATAAAAATCTTGGGGAAAATGATGATAACAATGTAATTACTATGTGTCAACTGATAGCTTATTATATATCACTTATAGTCATTTTTTAATTAAAAAGTTATCTGAATATTCAGCCATTATCTACATAGTGTAAATTAATAGGAGATCTAATTGTGATAAAATACTTCAGATGGGGCTTTAGACAGTATATTTGTAGCAGATCTCTAAGTGTTTTTGAAAAATATGTCTAAGAAAATTGAATTTGATACAGTACTTTCAGATTAGCAAGAGAAAAGGGACATCTCTGCATTCACTCTGCTTTTTCCTTAGTTCTGGATATGATTAAAACCAAAACAAAACATGGGAGCCTGGTGTTGGCAAAATTCTATTAAATGGAAATGCTTGTATTGTGCATATTCTTCCTGAAGAGCAATATGAGCCAAAAATATGAAAGAATTGTGTTGTAACCAAGATCTGTCAGACTACATCATGTGGATGATATTTTTATGAGTTCTAGTTCCCTTGTGAGGGGACTTTGGAAGCTGAGAGAAGCTGTTTGGAGAAATGATGCATCTGTTCTTTTCAGTATGAATGCTGGGGCATAAAGTTAACCTATACTTCATCTTTTTTTTTTAAAAAAAAGTATCCAAAATATAAAAAGACAAGAAAAAACCCACACCAAAACTCTCTTTCTGCAGAAGCTAGATCACAAATTTCCCAAATCCACAGGTAAGCAGAAGGGCTGGCTGTGGCTGTGGAGAACGATGAGGTTCCTGTGGTTGGGAGCAGAGAAAAGATTCCACAGTAGCCTCTCCAAAAAAACCTAACAAAGTATGCTCTAAGAAGGGGATTGACATAACCTGAGGTGGGAAGCCTAAATCTCATGTTTTTAAAAATCTGGATAGGGTGCAGGGATGGCTATAGGAACCTATCTAGACGTTATTTAACTTCAAGAAATGAGCTGTTAAATATATATATGGAATCACAAAAATAAGCCATATTTGCAAATAGCAGTCTATTTTCATGAGAGATAAGAAGAAAATATTTCTTTTTGAGAAACCTCAGTTTCCTACCTTTATTAGCTGGGGAAGACATAAAGACTAAATAAAATAAAACATCTACCGTAAGCCTGGAACCCAGGCTTTTTATTTCTTTTCCAGAAGAACATATTATCCCATTTTAAATAATCATTCAAAAAATTAGTAATCAAAAGGGAATTACATATATATGTATAAAGAGAAAGAGATTGATAGGTATACACACACATGCCCAAGAAACAGGAAAAAATAAGATTGTAGGTTACAAACATTTCAGGAAAATGCTTCCATGGAATAGAAGAAAACTGAACATTATTTACTATAAATTTAAGATAACAATAGACAATATCTCAAACATACAGCCCCAATTACATATATTCTAAAAGGAAAGAAACCCACTCTTTAAAATTCAATTTTACAGTGGCTGACAACTGTTCAGTAATTTCTAGGGGTTAGGATATGGGGCTAGGGAAAGGGTTTGGTTACAAATGTTAGCATGAGGGAAATATTTTTGGTTGGGAGAGGTTGTTAAACTGTTTCTAATTCTATTGATAGAACATTAAGCTAAATGTTAACATTCATAGAACTGTACATCAAAAAAGTGAATTTTGGGTGGGCACGGTGGCTCACACCTGTAATTCCAGCACTTTGGAAGGCCAAGACAGGCAGATTACTTGGTCAGGAGTTCTAGACCAGCCTGGCCAACATGGCGAAATCCTGTCCCTACTAAAAATATGAAAATTAGCTGGGCATGGTGGTGGGCACCTGTAGTCCTAACTACTAGGGAGGCTAAGGCAGGAGAATTGCTTGAACCCAGGACGCGGAGGTTGCTGTCAGCCGCGACCACACCACTGCACTCCAACAAGACTGTCTCAAAACCAAAACAAAAGCAAATTTTACTTTCTGACAACTGAAAAAATGAATTTAAAAAAAACCTAAAAATTTTAAACCTGAATATGTATTTGCTGTCATTTTCTCAAATTTCCAAATAATTATAATTTGTTTTTCATGTTAAATCCAAATATTCTTTCAATTTATCTATTAAGCAGAATATTCTTTTGACCCTCTGTTGGCAAATCGAATTGCAATTAAATTAAAAATACCTGGGACGTTTTCCAGGTGGCTAAACTATGATATATTTGAGTGATGTTTAGCTAATAGTGTTGTTACATTAGTAAAGCAACTTATTTTATCTGAAATATTATGCCATCACTTTGCCTCTGGAAGCCTTGCCTATGCATGTCTGTGTGGCAAAGCAAATATTGAGATTTATTGCCAGTAGCATTAGAATTCTCATTATTATAAGAATTATAAGAATTCTGAAATATTAGCCATTAAAATAACCAAGTTAATAAAGCTTAAACTTTTTATGGAATTATCCATTTCTGTTTTGAAAAATACTGAACTCTTTTCAAATACTATTGCTTGTTCACTTAACAATGATTACTTGAACATAGTTCAGCTAAAGCTTTTATGATATTCACTAATCTAGCATTTATTTTCGCATTGCTTTCCACCATCACTAAAGTAATTACTACATGTTCACCAACTAATTATTCTGATGGTGCATTAAGAATTGATCTTTACCTTAATATTTTATGGTATCAAGTGTTTTTGCATTCATCAAGAATATTCCATTTTGCTTATATTTTAATGATGAGCTCTAGAATATCATCACTAACATATCTAGCAAATTATAAATATGTCATTTTTTAGGTAAAATATTTAAGAGTATGTAGTGCTATATATTTAGTTATTTTAAATCAAATACTTAATGTTTATACTTTTTAATTGATGTACAATTTTCAATTCTTTAGAATGCGCTTTTGAAATAATTGCCCTTATTATAGTTTTATAACAACTTTAATATATCTTCTGTATCTATAGCAGATGATTTATAAAAATGCTTTTCTTTAGTAATAACTGTCTCTATCTCAAGTTCTTCATAGTGAGCTATTTTTTCTTTTTATATTCCTGTAGAGATACATACTTGTACATAAACATGCCAATTATAGGTAGATATATAGCTCTCTTAAATATTATGAGCCTTCAGCTTCTGACTTTAGTACCCTCCATTGAGAAATGAGAAAATTTGACTCCCAAACATGTATCTCTAGTTACACCTTTGCACCTGAAATCCAGAAAAATATATTCAGTTTTCCACTCAATATTTCTTCTTGGATTGAAAATGCAAATGAATATTTTAAATTTAACTTGTTCCAAGTCACTCTTTCTTTTCTATCACTCTCATACCAGTTGTCTATCTCAATAAATTGTTTCACCATCTACCAAAGTGCTCAAGACCCAAACACTGATGTCATCTTTGCTCTTCTCTTTCCCTCATAAACCACATTCAAATCCTTAGCACATTTTTCCCACTCTGCTCTACAATAATCCTAAGTCTTGCCGTGCTACACAACAGCTACTCCTACTACCCGAGAATTAGCCGTCACTATCCTTTAGGAGTAGATTTCTTGCAGGCTTTATTTTCCTAATGACCTGGTAACAACCAATGAAATATAAATTTTATGGCCGCAGGGTCTGTAGAAGTGATACCCAATGTTTTTGGCACTGGGGGCCACTTTCGTGGATGACAATTTTTCCACAAATGAAGGTGGGGGGTGGTTTCAGGATGTTCTACCTCAGATTATTAGGCATTAGTTAGATTTTCATAAGGAGTGTACAACCTAGATCACTCTCATGCACGGTTCACAATAGAGTTCAGACTCCTGTAAGAATCTAATGCTGCTGTTGATCTGACATGAGGCAGAGCTCAGGCAGTAATGCTTGCTCACCTGTTGCTCATCTCCTGCTGTGCAGCCTGGTTTCCAACATGCCACAGATGGGTAATGGTCCATGGCCTGGGATTTGGGGACCTTTGGTCTCCAGGATCTGCCTCCTGGCTATTTGTCTCACTTCATTTCCTCATCACTCATCCAATTGACCAATGAACTCAAGCCACTTGGCTTCCTGCCATTTTCTCAAATCACAAAGGTCATTTCTACCTCAAGACCTTATACTTTGTTATTATCTTTCCTGAAATGCTGTTTCAAAAACTGTACACTTACAACTATCTAATCTTCACAAACCTGACAAAAACAAGCAATGGGGAAATGATTTCTTATTCAATAAATGGTGCTGAGATAACTCTCTAGCCATATGCAGAAGATTTAAGCTGGACTCCTTCCTTACGCCATATACAAAGATTAACTCAAGATAAATTAACGACTTAAATGTAAAATCTGAAAGTGTAAAAATCCTGGAAGACAACCTAGGCAATGCCATTCAGGAAACAGGCATGGGTAAAGATTTCATGAAGACACCAAAAGCAATTGCGACAACGAAAAACTGGCAAGTGGGATATAATTAAAGAGCTTCTGCACACAGAAAGAAACTCAACAGTGTGAACAGACAACCTACAGA
Source organism: Homo sapiens (assembly GCF_000001405.40). NCBI lineage: Eukaryota > Metazoa > Chordata > Mammalia > Primates > Hominidae > Homo > Homo sapiens. The sequence goes on from NC_000007.14 coordinate 119,011,393, forward strand.
ATGGGAGAAAGTTTTTGCAAACTAAGCATCTGACAAAAGCCTAATAATACACAGCATCTAGAAGTAAATTAAACTTGCAAGAAAAATCAACTTCATAAAAACGTGGGCAAAGGACGTGAACAGACACTTCTCAATAGAAGATACATGTGCCCAACAAGCATATACAAAAAAGCTAAACGTCACTTATCATTAGAGAAATGCAAGTCAAAAGCACAATGAGATACCATTTCGTACCAATCAGAATTGCTATTATTAAAAAGTCAAAAAATAACAGATAGTGGCAATGTTGTGGAGGTAAAGGTAAGCTTATACACTGTTGGTGGGAGTGTAAATTAGTTCATCCATTGTGGAAGACAGTGTGGTGATTCCTCAAATACCTAGGGACAGAAATACCATTTGACCTAGCAATCCCATTACTGGGTGTATATGTTCCCCAAGGAACATAAATCACTCTATTATAAAGACACATGCATGTATATGTTCATTGAAGCACTATTCACAATAGCAAAGACATGGAATCAACCTAAATGTCCGTCAGTGATTGACTGGATAAAGAAAATGTGGGTACATATGTACGATGGAATACTATGTAGCCATACAAAATAATGAGATCATGTACTTTTCAGGGACATGGATGAAGCTGGAGGCCATTATCTTTAGCAAACTAACACAGGAACAAAAATACCACATCTTCTCACTAATAAGTGGGAGCTAAATGATAACACATGGACTCATAGAAGGGTACAACAAACATGGGACTTTCAGAGGGTGGAGGTTGGGAGGAGGGAGAGGATCACAAAAAATATCTAATGGGTACTAGGTTTAATACCTGGGTGATAAATAATCTGTACAGCACATCCCCAGGACACACGTTTTCCTATGTAACAAACCTGCCCTTGTATCCTGAACTTAAGATAAAAGTGAAAAGAAAAAAAGGAGAGAAATGCCATTTCCTCTGGGAGGAATAGTATTTTCCTATATGCTTGCATTTCACACCTCGTTATTTCATTCAGGACTTTACTCAAATGCCACTTCCTCAGAGAACACATGCAGAAGATTTAAACTGGACCCCTCAGAGAACACAATTTCTGCCACCTCATTTCTGGAAATCGTTACCAGACACAATTTCTAAAACAGCATGCCTGTCATTTTACATCTCTGTATCTGCTTTTATTTTTCTCTATAGTAATTAACACTCAAAGGTCTTTTATTTCTATTTTTACTTGTTAATTGACTGCTTTACCCACTGCAAGAATCTCCAGGAGTGAAAGAACTTTGTTTTCTTCTTGATTTATCCAAAGCACCTAGAATGTAGAAACGTCTACAAATTGCTGAATAAATGTATGTTACCAGGGAGATAAGTCAATATGAGCACTACCAGCCATTCATTAGCAGAGAAGAGACCAAGCTCTTATTTCCCTACCTGATGGGCTGGTAATCCTTCTCTGCTTTCACATCTTATTCCTTTTCCAGTAGTGAGAATTCTTGGGGAGCTAAGTTCAAGTGACTATATATAGCTGAAAGGACAGCAATGACTTTCTTCGTAAAATAATTCATAATCCATACTTTTATTTAGCCTAGCATTTACCCCACTTAGTCTAAAAAAGCTCTTATTATTGTTTTGCACCTGTTTATTTCAGTGGAAAAAAAGAAAAATTTGTAAGAAATATACTATACTATAAATCATAACCAAAATATGTTTTAAATAAGGATTTTAGTTAACTATCAAATATTGATGCAATCACAATATATATGAAATTATTTTCAGTAATTTCAAATTTGAGTACTGTGAAACTTAATCACTAAGGAATGATTCATATAAAAGAAAAAAGAGTATTAAATTGTATCCAGGTAGTCACTTTAGAGAGTATTTAACTGTTTATTTAACAGTGACTAAAAATTGGAGTCTCCAAAATCAAAAGCCAGGCCTTATTTTTCCCAATATAGCATGGTGCTTGGAACTCCAGAAAAGATCAATAAATGTTTGTTGAATGGAAGCATTTCAAATTCTATATAAAAGTTTATATTTAATTTCTTACATAGTAGCAATGTGATTTCAATAAAAATATTTCTGATTGCTCTTGAATACCATTTGTCTTTATCCAATAACATATCTGGATCCAATAACATATCTCCAATATCTGGAGGGCTTGTTTTGCATTTTTTTTTTTTGTCCTGTAAGTGCTCATTAATTCTGAGCTTTAAGCATTAGGGTTTAAATTAGAAATTACTAAACAGCAATGAATAAGAGAATCAATATAAAATCTCCACCTGTCACAATCGTGAGTGTCTTCTATTTTTGCTACTCTTGCCAAAAGGATCATGTTCATCTTCAATAAATGCTTTAATTATCTAGAGATCCACAATGTTCCAGACTGACCTTACATGGAAGGCTTCAGGAAAAACCTGCAGAGTATGTTTTAAGGAGGGCCACAGTGTCCTCATTTTTTCAAAATGTTTCTGACATTAGAATATAAAATCTAATTTCTTCTTTGTTAATGAAAAATCTGTTTTCTTAAATTTTTTATACCCATCACAAATCCCATTCGTTCTCATACCATATTCATTTACTCAAATGTGATTAATATTAGGGTATCTCTAGGAATCTGTGCTCTTAAAATTTTCTCTCCTGGGGTGTTTTTACATTTCTGATTTCTACTTAATGTTCTACAATATACATCAATACATCACTGCATTTTACGTATTGTTTTGGCTATTGATACATATCCCTATTTTGCTTCAAAATTACTGTAATTTCAAGCGATACTACAGTAAACATCTCTATATATAATATATATATAATATGTGTGTGTGTATATGTGTGTGTATATGCATGTGTGTGTGTGTGTGTGTGTGTGTATATATATATATATATATATATATAAGGACCACTGCCGATTATGTATATGAGTGTTGAGGGGTGTTTAAACCTAGCAGTAACATTTCTAGGTCATGGAGTACAGGCATATTCAACTTCCCTGAGTATTGCCACAGGTATTTCCAAACTGTACTACTTACATTCTGGTTTTCATTTTCTTACATCTGGATCAATATTTCATATGATTGCGCTTTCTATTTTCTGATGATAGTTTTGATATAAATTAGAAATTCTCTGACTCCTTGTGATTTCAAGCATATTTTGTGTTTATTTAATAAACATAGAGCAATTACTATATTTCAGGTATCCTTCTAAGCCCTTAATTTGTTTTAATTTAGTGAGCATTCATTACAGCCCATAATAACTCACCTATGAGCTAAGTACTGTTATCTTAATTACATATAACTGGAAAATGAGGCATGGAGAAGTTAAGCAATCTGTTCTTCATCACATGGCTAATCAATGGTAGAAGTGAGATTCAAACCGAGCTCTTTGTTTCTAGGGTATGTGTTCCTAACCACCTTTCACGTACTTCTTACCCATTTGGATTTTTATGTATTTTCCATTTTTACTTTTTGACTATTTTCTCTACCAATACTGACATATGTCAGTGGACAAAACAAAGTACCTGATCTCATAGAAGTATATTTTGACTGGTGCTGTGGGAGAAAAAAAGATAATAGGCAATGCCAAGGTGCGTAGGGACCTACACTTCTCTGCATTTGTTACAGAAGATGATTCTGGTGTTATATTTAAGAAGAAACTTACATAAATAGAAGAATAAGCCAATAGAGTAGCTGGAGGAAGAGCATTTCAGGCAGAAGGAATGGGTGACAAGGCTGGAACAGGCTTTGGGAGTTTGAGCAGAGTGACAAGTGAGACTGACACAGAGTGACCAACAAGCTGAGTAGTGGTGGGAGGAGGTGAAAATAGGCATGTAAAGGGGGAAGGAGGTATATGGTGCAGTACCTTATAAGCCTAGGAAGGATTTTGGCTCTTGCTATGAATAAGATGTGAAGATAATAAAGGTTTTAAGGAGAGGAGTGGGCATGAACTTAGGCCTGCTTTACAAAGAGCTCTGCCAGATAGAGAAGAGACTATATGGAGGTGGAGGGTGGAAGTAAGAAGACCAACTAGGAGAATTTCACAATTTTGCAGGCAAGAGATGATAGTGATGCCCTACTTGATCATAATCTATAATTTCTGATGCATTGGTGCATAGAATTAGCAAGAGTTCTGTTTATCTGTTTTATCATGTATATTTACATATTCATTCGGCCTATAGTTTTTCTACATTTTTTTAAATGTATACTGGCCACATACTCCAAAGTGGACATATCTCCCTCATATTTTCTTTTACTTATTTCTTTTATTATCTGTGTCAACTCATATAAATTGGATTAAATATTTGAAACACTGCTAGAAATCACCTAAAAATATCATGCAGACATTATGTTTATTTTGGTAAGGTAGATTATGACTACCATAACCATTTTTTTCAGTATCTATTTTTCATCTATTTTAGTTCATTGTTATGTATTTTGACATCTTACGTTTTTCAAGAAATTTGGTTACTTTGTTGTTGAAAGTATGTTTGTCTTTAGCTATTTAATATTTTTCATTCTATATTTGCATTTTCACTCTATTGCTATTATGAATCTTGCCAGAAATTTTAAAAATTATATAGTATTTTATATTACCATCATTTGTTTTCTAAATTTGTTTTGTTTTTACTTTAATATATATGCCATCTCATACATTGTTATCTTTTCACATTTCTTTGATATTCCTTTTGCCATTATTCTGGTTGTTGGGTTAAATGTATAACTCTTTCTATATACTTTGTGATAAATAATATATTCAAGATTTATTTCTGTTTTTTAAATTAATAATATATTTAAAGCTCTAATTCCCTTCTCACTACTGCATTAACAAGTTGCATAAATTTTTGATATAACTTATTTTGTATATATTTATTTCACACATTTTTCTCATGGGTTCACATTTATCTTTGTATTGTTATAATTTGTTTTGTTAATTTTTAAGCCTATGACATTTTAAGCTGTTATTTGCCTATGGATTCCTAATAATATTGTGTTACAATTCTCTATTGTCCTACCTCTGAGCCTTGCATTTTATATCTCAAGTTTTATTTTATGTTTTCCACTCTACTTCTTCCTGATATTGTTCTGGTTGAATTTCTTGATCTTCATTTTTTGCTCTTTCATTTGCCCTAAGGCAGTATCTATTTTGCTATTTAATCTCTCTATTGAATAATTTATTTCAATTATTATATTTTCATACCCAATGACTCTAATTGGTCACTTTTACGGCATTGTTTTTGCTTTGTGTATCTCGTAACATTTTTATCCCATTAAATTTACTTTTATGTTTATTTAAATTATAATTCACTCTAGGCCATCAATTCTGCTTATTTTTTCATGCATTGTGTCGAAGCAAAAATTGCACCAGACAATGTTAATTAGGCAAGGGAGACTCTATTCAAGCCTATTATAGTAGGGGAGAGAGAGACCAGAATATTACTCTGAACTCAACTCTTTTAAAATAATAGTAGTAGGATTTATTAATAGCTGGAATGAGAGGGATGTCTTAAGCTACTTTTGTTTGTTAATTGGATTAATACAAAGGAAAATATACTTTAATGTATCTTTATGACAGGAAGTAGTTTAGAACTTGGAACAAGGTACCTGCTTAAGTACTTTAATTTCGCAGTTTCTGTGGGAGAGGCTCCCACTCTCCCACAGAAACTGGGAAATTGGGACACTGTCTTCCCTTTGATCACATTTCAAATAAGCAGCTTCTATGTCCTTAAGATGGAAGTTCTTGGGTTGTAAAACTGGCAGGACGCTTTTAAACAGATTACATTTCAAAGGGACAGAGAAAGAATTTCCAATGAAAGTTTCTTAAAGTAATTGCTCTAAGAAAAGGAATCTCACGGGCCTAGAGTCAGGGAGAAGTCTATCTAATGTTCAGTCAAGCTGAAGGGAACATTAACATAACTTGGTCAGTGAGTTGTCTCTTCCATGGTAGTTGTGGTCCCCAAATATTGTGTTGTTTATCCCAGGAAATGCATGATTCCTTAAACATGGCAGCTTCTTTGTGAGATAATGTGAGTTAGTGGGAGGGGTGAAATACCAGAGTCTAGCCTGTGAATATTCAGCCAACAAGGGAGAGAGATCTTGGGTGAAGAAGAAAAAAAACTTGCTATGGATAAGGCGATAGACTTTTCCCCTCTTGATCCTCAGAGACTTTTCCTCTACCTACATATGTAGAAATTACACATGTTCTAAGAATGATTCTGCATGGTTGAAATCATCAAAACCAGTTATAGGACAGTGTGGCGTGCAGGGATGGAAGAGAGTATGTTTAGCCAATTGTGTTTCTGTTCATTATCTCCTTGCCAACAGACCCTAGCTCTGGTACAATTTTGATACTACTTCATAGCTGACAGTGACCGAGAGACAGGTACTACTGTTTTCCTTCCCCATATCAAATATGATAGAAAGTGAGCCCTCCAAGGTAATAAAACAGTCAAAGGAACATAAAAAAAGTTAATTCTATGTTGCCATCTACCTAGAAATCCAGTCTCTTCCGTGTTAGGCTTCTCTTTCCCACAAAATGGATCTGATTGTCTTCTGTCTCCACAGGTATTTCTCTCAGCTTTCATGATTTTTTTCTTAATCACATTTTTAAATTTATGTTTTATAATTCCATTTTTGTTTTAGATTCAAGGGGTATATGTGCAAGTTTCTTACAAGGGTATATTGTGTGGTGCTGAGGTTGGGGCTTCTATTGCTCTCATTAACCTATAGTGAACATTGTATCCAATAGTAAGTTTTTCAGTTCAAGCCTCACTCCTTCTCTCCCTACTTTTGGAGTCCCCAGTGTCTATAACTCCCAATTTTATGCTGATTTGAACCCAAGATTTAGCTCCCATGTAAACATGAAAACATGTAGTATTTGGCTTCCTATTTCTGCATTAGTTCGCTTAGGATAACCACCTCCAGCTGCATTCATGTTGCTGCAAAAAAACACATGATTTTATTCTTTATTATGCTTGTGTAGTATTCTATGGTGTGTATGTACTACATTTTCTTTATCTAATATACCATTTCTGGGCACTGAAGTCAATTCCATGTCTTTCCTACTGTGAGTATTGCTGTGATGAACATACACAAAGGACCAATGAAATGGCAAATTGGTTATTTGAAAGAACACACAAGATTGATACATTGCTAGGTAAAATAACAAATAAAAGAAGAAAGAAGATTCAAATAAGCCCAATCAGAAGTAATAAAAGTACCATCACAACCAATCACATGAAAATATAAAAAATCCTCAGAAATTATTATGTATCTCTATGCACACAAATTAGATAATCTAGGGGAAATGGATACATTGCTAGAAACACAGAACCTCCAAAGATTAAACCAGGAAGAAATTGAAACCATGAACATACCAATAACTAGTAACAAATCTGAATCAGTAATAAACAACCTACCAATAAAATAAGCCCTGGACTGGATGGATTTGAAGCTGAATTCTACCACAAGAGCTAGTACTAATCCTATGGTAACTATGCTAAAAAATTGAGGAAGAGTCACTCCTCCCTACACACACTACCAGCCAATATCCCTGATAAAGATAGATGCAAAAATTCTCAACAAAATACAAGCAAACTGAATCCAACAGCACATTAAAGAGTTAATTCACCACAATAAAGCATTTATGTTCTGATCGAACTACTTAGGTGTTCTTGTTGCATCTATAAAGTTGGCTTCAATATTATATCTTAATGTTTTGACCTCAAACTCGTTGTTTCTAGATAAAGTCTCAGAGAAGATTAGAATATAGGGATGCAAGAAGTTGCTGCAAAGAGTGGGAGCAAATGGAGATAACTCTGAGAAGGTTTCTACTTGATACTTATACATGTGTAGAGGCTAATGGGTACAGATACTGTTGTGTTGTTCAGATCCAAATACATTTCCTTTAGCTAGATTCTATTGGTAAAAGTTGTTGCTTATAGCATATATTGCTTACAGACAAAGAATAAACTGTCAGGTTGTATTCATAATTAAAAGTAGAGCTACTGCTAACATATTAACTTATTTTAGCATTAGTAACATATTTGTGATAATATCTTATGCATAGAATTGAATTAATTTTTTATCAGATTTTATATTTAATTCCCAATTTTTAAAAGTATTTCTGACATCTTTCCTTCCCTCAATGTTTAAATCTATGTAAACTGCAAACACAGAAAGATGAATTTTTTCTAAGAAGTAAACGTTACTACTCTTGATATATCTTTTGTACATTACAGAGTGCTAGTTATCTGAAAGGTATAATATTCAAAGAAATTATTTGATTATTTGAGTTTATATTCACTTTACACATTAAATTTCTCTTTTCATAAAGAGGGAATGTTTAAAGTCTAAAAAAAGGCAGACTAAAACAGATATTTTGGTCATTATAAATTTAAGAATTTCTATGAAAATCAAGTATTTCATGATTAAAGTTCTGTAGGTTTATTATATACTGCACTGATTATTTTTGTGGTCACCAGAAGTTAGTTTTAGTAGAAGAAGATAATTCATTGTTAACTTTAAGGTAGTAGATAAGGTATGGGTATCAGTATAATAATGTTGTAAATATAGTTGTATCTAGGTTTTTGGTTGTTTTCCAAATGATTTCCGAACTAAAAATAAATAATCTATTAAAGTATTTACTATTTTCTTATTAGACAGTTTTTTCTTCCTATAGAAAGCTTCTTTATATAAGCTAAACTGCAACTTAGCAGCAGTATTTTTTTGTAACAGACTAAACATGTATTGTTGAGAGAAATCCATTTTTATAAAATAAATACACCAAACGAATTCTGTGAGGAGTTATATGAAGTCTTAATGTGCAGATTCTGATGAGCTACGATATTTCTCTTTAGGGAAGCTGCTTTTCAATAGAGAAAAATAGCACTCTGTCTCCTTTTACATTTGTATTCACCTTCATATACTTGGGGATTTTTTATCATAATATGCAAAATTATTAAATCATTACAATAAATGGAAAGATTTTTGCGATAATAAATTCATGTTAAAGGGATAAATTTTACTAAATTTATTTTTGTCACATACAAAGTAATTTTTGGATCATTAGTTTCACAGTTGTATTTGTGGAATTGTTGGGGAATAGTTTTATAAATGTTCAGTTTCATAAGGGACATCTACACAGGGCTTCATAATAAATCATTCATCAAATTTATGTGCAAAAACATTGGGGGTTGCTTACTAAAAACGATTTGTAAACTTTATAAGAGAAAATACAGAGATTCTAAAGAGAGACATCAGCAAGATGGCTGACTACAGATGCCTGGTGCTCACATACCTACTCCTCCAAAAGAAAAACAAAGACCAAAACAGCAAACAAACAAATAAAATTTGATTACAGTTTCTGAAAGAGGGTATTTGAGCACAGCAATGGAGTAGTAAAAACCCTGTGAAGAACAGAAACTCAGGATTGCAACATAGAGAAAGGGGTGAAGCATCTAGCCTTTGCCACACCTTATCTCCCCTACTGTGATCTGCTTAGGGCCTCCAGGGACTTTCTCTTGTGGAGAAAAGGTAAAAAGGAAGCCCCTATCAGCTCCCATTGCCACTGCAAACACTTTCAGTTTGTGGTACAGGAGAATCCTGCAGTCCTTAGAGGCTTGAGCCCAGTTTGGGGAGCTGCATGGAATTTACATGACTGCATTGCTCCAGAATAGTAACCCACATTGTGCACTACCTCCCAAACTCCTTGACCCAAAATGCTAAAACATGGTGACATTTTAAGCCACTTCTGGATTGCACACTATTCTGAGGCCAGTATCTACTGTGTCTCTTTATCCCTGAGGCTCCATCGTCATTCAACCATGCTCACACATGTAGTTGCTGTGCCATGATTCTGGCTGTTCAGAACTTTGGTTCAGTGGAATGGCTGTGATGTTTGTGCCTGAGACCATGCAGTGCTCTATACCCCAAGGAACAGATGGTTCTACACAGCAGGAAAGCCAAACCTGGGCCTGCTGAATTGTTGTGCACCCATAATCCTAGCCTGAAAAACAGCCCAGTGTCCCCATCCCCAGCAAACCAGTCCTCAAGCACAAGCTCAAGCTGGAAACTAATTCTACAGGATCAGGGTCCCACCCTTGCAACCTCATTTAACCGAAATTATTATTAATATCTTAAAGGCCTGTTCTTCAAATATAGTCACACTGGGGTTTAGGAATTTGGCATGAAAAATTTTTTGGCAGGATGGAGTGGGAAGGAGGAACAAATATTTGCAACAAATGGCAATGATAAACATAGTGTTAACTGCTGGCACTGGAGGACTGGATTGATGGTGGTAGGACACTAGGATGTTTTTCAGGCCCGGGTTATGGGTGCACAATAATGTGTATACAGCTCTGGCCTGAGAACCAGCCCAGTATACTGCCCCCAATGAAGCTGCAACACTGCCACCAGATGCTCCTAAAGCTTACACCACTGAGGCATACATAGCCATCACTGATGTGAACTATAGCTAGAGAAACTACACAGTAACTTCAATAATGCATCCACATAGAACCAAAGTCAATACATCCTACCCAACTGGCACCCTAGAACCTAACATCAGGAAAACGTTTTCTTACCAAAAGTTGTTCCATAAAATTGGGAGAGATGACTATTTGACCACTTGTGCAGATGTCAATGGAGGGACACAAAAGACATAAAACAACAACAAAAAAAGAATAGTTCCGAAGAAACACAATACTGTAATTATTCAAAAGGTCATGAGGAAAGGAAACTTAGAATATGCCCACAAAGAATTCTAAATAATGATCTTAGGAAATCTCAGCCAGATAGAATAGAGTACAAGTAAATGACAAAATCAGGGAAACAATTTATGACCTGAATGAGAAATTCAGCAAAGAGATAGATATTATTTTATAAGAAGGCAAATAGAAATCTTGGAACTGAAGAATTCAATAAGTGAAATAAAAATGCTTTGGCAGCTTCAACAGCAGACTAGATTAAGCAGAGGAAATAATTTTTGAATTTGAGGACTAGTCTTTTGAAATGACCTAGACAGAGGGAGGAAAAAGAATAACAAAGAATAAAGAAAGCCTACTAGACTTATTGGACATCAATAAGCAAACAAACATTTGTATTATTAATATTTGAGAAGGAGAAGAGATGGAGAAAGGTACAGAGAACATATTTAAAATATAATAGTGGAAAACTACACAAGTCTGGAGAGATATGTAGACATCTAGATCCCAGTAGCTCAAAGATCTCCAGATATATTCAATCCCAAAAGGTCTTCTCAGAGGCAAATTATAATCAAATTGCCAGAGGTCAAAGACAGAGAGAATGCTAAAGAAGCAAAATAAAACGCTAAAGCCAATAATGGAATCCTCATTGGACTAGCATCAGATTTCTCAGCAGAAACGTTGTAGGCTAGGAGAACATATATTCAAAGTGCTGAACATACATTCAAAGGGCTGAAAGGAAAACAAACAAGTAAACAACAACAAAAAACCTATTCACCAAGAATACTGTATCCAGCATAGTCATTTTTCAGACATGGAGGAGAAATAAAGTACTTTCAAACCAGCAAAAGCTTAAGGAATCCAGGACCACTTGAATGACCTTACAAGAAATAAAAGTTTCTCATATATTAAAGCTAGAACTACCACATGATGCAGCAACCATTACTGGGTATATGGCCAAAGGAAGTGAAATCCGTATGTCAAAGATATATCTGCACTTCTGTATTTTTGGCAACACTATTAATAATAGCCAAGATATCAGCCTAAGTAATTAATGTTCAAAAACAGATGAATGGAGTTTTATTTTTAACAACAAATAAATGGTTATAGAAAATATAGTATATATACACAATGGAATACTATCCATCCATAAAAAGAAAGACATCCTGTCATTGCCAACAGCAGGGAAGAACCTGGAGGACATTTTATTAAGTATATTAAGTAAAATAAGCAAGACACAGAAAGCTGAATACCACATATTCTCACTTATATGTGGAATCTAAAACGTTAATCTCATAGCAGTGGTTAATAAAACAGTGATTACCAGAGAATGGGAGGGAAGTTGGAGAGGAGAATGTGGAGAGGATGATTAACAGATATGAGTTTTAATTAAAAAAGATAAGTTCTGATGTCCTAATGCACAGTGGGGTAACTATGGTAATTGATAAGATAGCGTATATCTCAAAATAGCTAGAAGAGAGGATTTTGTATGTTTCCACCACAAAGAAATGATAAATGTTTGATGTGATGGATATGTTGAATACCTTTATTTGATCATTACACAATGCATACTTGTATCAAAATATTACACTGTAACTTATGAATATGTACAATTATTATGTGTTAATTAAAATAATAAAAATACCTAAATGGCAAAAAAGAAAATATATAATTTAGTGAATATTGAATTATGAACAGCTGTGGGATTTTTTTAAATATTAGTCTAGCATGTGTGCTGAGGCATACCGATTATGTAAATACTACACATGTGTATACATGCTGTGTAGTACATGCTCACATACATACATGGGTTCGTATAGCTACCTATAGCTTCTCAAAACTCCCAGAGTGCGGACAGGCAATTGAATCTTTGCCTTTGAGTATGCCCATATTGCTCATTAATACAGACAAAAACCAAAACTGAACTTAATGCAGAAACAACTATAAAAGGATGCATTTTACATTATTATTCAATGTCTACTATGTTTTATGGGCATTGCAAATGTTACACAAGGTTCACCAGACTAACTCCTTTGTTGCCTTTATTGTATTCCCTTCTAATCTAGCCTCGATTCCCTATTGATAATTATTGTAACTCTTCCACAAATATTCTCAACTCTGTTGCATTTACTTGAGAAAACCTAAGCTTGGTTTAACCAGCTGTCCAAGTAGCTAATTGTTGCTACAGAAAAACACATAATCAGAAAGGTGGGTGGTACTGACTTTATTCTGGTAACTCAAATGGGTCCTCAATACTTCCCTGAGATCCCTTTTGTTTTTCTGTAGTAAATTCACTCTGCCTTATTTCACAACACTTTTTCACACCTTGATTCCAATTTTCCACTCATCTCTTGTCCTATGTGAATTTTAGTTGATGGCCTTCAATCATTCTTCACTGAACAAATAGAAGGTATTAGAGAACTGTTTCCCTAACTTTCCATAGTCAAACAGGTAATCCAACAATTGTTTGTGCTATCATCACTTCTCTTCCTCTTTTTACAATGAAGAAATTGGTTCTTAATTCTGAAAAACATCCATATTAACCTTCTCAGGGATTTAGATACTTTTTTTTTTTTTGAGATGGAGTCTCACCCTGTCACCCAGGCTGGAGTGCAGTGGCACAATCTCGTCTCACTGCAACCTCTGCCTCCTGAGTTCAAGTGACTCTCCTACCTCAGCCTCCTGCATAGCTGGGATTACAGGTGTGCACCACCACGTCCAGCTAATTTTTTGTATTTTTAGTAGGGATTTCACCATATTGGCCAAGCTGGTCTCAGACTCCTGATCTCAGGTAATCTGCCCACTTTTGCCTCCCAAAGTATTGGGATTACAGGTGTGAGCCACCACACCCGGCCTAGTTACTTTTTTAAATCTTCCTAAACTCTCTCGGGTCAGCGGCCTATTACTGCATCATTCTCATCAGCATTTAACAAGGGCTGCTTATTATCAGGGTGTTCTCCACAGTCCATGGCAGTAGGGCTTAAAGAAATTTGAAGTGGTGGATGGACGCATGGATAGATGGATGGATAAATGGATGGGTTAAGTGGTACAGAGTGAAAAATTCTACCTCCGAGTGTCTCTAAATGAGATATAACACAAGATATATACCTTGAGGGAAATAAGGAGCCTATATCAAAAAGTAAACATTATGAACAAAGCAACATTTAGCAAGAAATTTTTTCCTATTTACGATGTAGATTATTTGTTTGTTTGTTTGTTTGTTTGTTTTAGGATGGCCTTTTTTAAATTTATTTTTTTATTTTTTTACTTTAAGATCCAAGAAACAGGTTCAGAACTTACAGGTTTGTTACATAGGTATACATGTGTCATGGTGGTTTGCTGCACCTATCAACCCATCACCTAGGTTGTAAGCCCCGCATGCATTAGCTATTTGTCCTGATGCTCTCACTCCCCTAACCCCTCCCACTGCTGACAAGACTGGGTGTGTGCTTTTCCCCTCCCTGTGTCCATGTGTTCTCATACAATATAGATTCTTGAGATTCTTGAGAAAAAGCCATTATGCATTTTATTATAGGTAGCATGTGAATGACAGATCTGTAAAGACTGGCCTACAACCTTCCACACCTCTGAGAAGAAAGACTAGTGGGAAGTTATTTGTCCTGTTTCTCATTAATGAAAGTGTATAATGCCAATATTCTGTAAGCATAATATAAGTAGAAACAGAAAACCTTTATAAAGCATGTATTTGAGTTTAATGTGATTGTATTTTTGGAATAAGACAAACAGATATACTGAAAGAGTAAAGAAACAAATCAAACTCAATTAAATTTAATGATCTACTAAGGTTTGTAGTTTTATTGCGTATTAACCAGGTACTTGAGCTTCTTGGAAAAAAAAATTGTGAAGTCAAAACAATATTATGAAAGGTATATGGTCAAAATCACTTTTATTTCTCTGTGAATGTTAGATTATATGGTGATGTCTTTCAAGGGACTTAATTTGAGTGAAGTACCTGCTGATTGACTCTAATATCTCATAGGCACACTACCAATGTGTTCTTCAATTGCCTAATCTCTAATTGTAAAGTGTTTTGTGAAGCGAGGCTTGGGCTCTCTTTATCTCACTCTCATTAATTTATTTCTTTAAGGTGTTTTTTTTATTTGTTTTTAATAAAGGGTATGAGTTGGTAAATGTGGATGATGCTGTTGAGAATGACCATCGTATTGATATACTGATACATGTAATTTCACACATTGCTGGTTTTATTGAGAAAGTAATAGTTTATTTCGTTCCGAGTCTTTTTTTGTCCCCATGTTATCTGAGTATTCATTTAGCATATCCTCTCCTCTCCTCTCTAGTAAAGGAAATGCAAGAGCAAAAATAACAAAACCAAAATGAAAACCAAGTATGCATATCTATGCAATGCAGGTCCTGCTTCTGCGGAGGCAGTTTTAGTCACCTTAACTTGACTGTATTTTATTTTTCAAAACAAAATTGGCAGTGCCCTTTGAGTGAGGGCACCATGCCATACAAACAGATGGTCAGGAAAGTAGATAGCTTGGAGACCAGGTTTATTTGTCAGATTTGCTTATAGAGGGTGACGTTCACAGCCAGAATGGTGAATGTTGCACTCTCAAAGTTCCTCTGCCTTTGGGAAGACTATTCCTCTTTTAGAACTAAACTTCATTTGCAAAAAATAGTAATTATCTCTGGTTCATGGTCACAAAGGAGAAAACACAGATTAAGTGAATCAGTTTTTCTAGCAGAATAGCATAATGAATCATTGGGTGACAATCTCTTATAAGGTGCTTCCACAAAATATATTTATGAAAATAACCTTCAGAAAAAGTAGAGGTGTGCTTTCAATAAACAAAGATTAAATAAATTAGAAACATATGTTATAATTTATCCCTTCCATGTACAAGCAAAATATGACATATTTGCTTAACAGTTAATCATTAATGTTTTGATATGTTTTTTGGTTATCTCTGAAAGTAACTAATATTATTGCTAGATATATATAATAGAGTCATTTGCCTAAGCCTTGCTTCATGCTTGTGGTGCCAACTTTGGTGTGCTTCCTGGGTCAAGCCTTTAGAATCACTATATTTTAAACATTGCTTTTCAACACTCTTCAAACTGATAAAGTATACTTTAAATAAAATGTGAATATATTTACCTTTGTAAGTATTTATTAGCATATTTTAACCCCTTTTGGGTATTGAAATAATTTGTTTTATCAGTCTTCTAGTGTTGACAATTGAATTGCATTACATTTTTTATTGTTGTAACCAATGTTGAGAAGAACATTTATGGTTACATGTTTATATACTTTCCTTGTTCGTTCCCTTAAATCCCTAAAATATGAACTCTTTTATTTATCGATCATTTTATGTCATCTTTAATTTGGAGCCCTTTATATCAAGACAAGGGATGTTTAATCTCTTTCTTGTTTTAAGAAAAATGATTTAAAGTCTAGAAATATATTAGCTTGAAACTAAAAGTCTATTGGGCAGCTGGAAGTGTCTTTTTAGAGTATAATTTATAAAAGGAAGAAGCACTAGTCTATATTTTTAATAAAAAAATTTGAAAAATAAAACAAGCCTAAACAATTACAGCAAATTTTCATGATATAATGTTAATATACAAAAGCAAATCACTTGCTTATATGCCAGAAAAGAACAAATAGAATTTGAAATTTAAAATATAATGCCATTTACATTAGCACCATAAAAATTAAATACTTAGGGATAAATCTGACAAAATATATAAAAACTGTAATGAAAGAAATCATAACTAAATAAATAATTCTTATTCATGAATGGGAAGGCTTAATATTGTCAAGATGTAAGGTCTGCCTAACTTATCGATAAATATAATGCAATCCCAATAAAAATACCAGCAATTTACTTCATTGATATCAACAAATTCATTCTACACTTTATATGGAAAGACAAGAGACCAAGAATAGCTAAACAATATTAAAAGAGTAGAATAAAGTTGGAGGATTGACACTACCTAAATTCAAGATTTACAAAAATGCTAGAATAATCAAAATAGTGGGGTATTGGTAAAAGAATAGACAAATAGATCAATATAATAGAATACAGAGCCCTAAAGTACAGTCACATAAATATACTCAATTTATCATGACTATGCAAAAGGCATATGATGGAGCAAAGATAATCTTTTCAACAAATGGTGCTGGAACAATTAGACATCTATCCACACACACACACACACACACACACACACACACACACACACAAAGCCTGAATCTAGATAAAAGTTTTACACTTTCACAAAGATTAACTTGGAATAAATCACATATGTAAATGTAAATTTCAAAACCAAAACCCACTAGAAAATAACATAGGAGAAAACTTAGATGACCTGTGGTTTGCCCGTGACTTTTTAGCTCCAACACAAAAGCACACTCCATAAGATAAAAAATAGATAAGCTGGACTTTGTTGAAAAGATTTTGCACTGCATAAGACATTGTCAAGATAATAAGACATGAGCCACAGACTGGGAGAAAATATTCGCAAAGACATATAAAGGACTATTATCCAAAACATTGAAAGAACATTTAAAACCCAACCCTAAGAAAACAACCTGATTAAAATATGAGCCAAAAACCTAAACAGACACTTAACCAAATAAGATATACAGATGACACCAAGTATATGAAAGATACTCCACATCACATGTCATCAGAGAAATGAAAATTAAAACAAGATAAAGCAGTTCCCCCTTATCTGCAGTGTTACTTTCTGTGGTTCAGTTCAGCTAAGTCTGTCTGAAAATATTAAATGACAACTTTTTGAAAGAATTTATAAGCTGTAAATTGTGAGTCATTCTGAGTAGTGTGATGCCATCCCACTTTATTTGGCTTGGGACCTGAACTATCCCTTTGTCCAGTGTACCCACATTATATTTGCTACCTGCCAGTTAATAGCCATTTGAGTTATTAGGTCGACTGCTTTGGCATTGCAGTGCTTGTGTTCAAGAAACCTTTATTTTACTTAATAAAGCCCCCAAAACTTAAAAGTAGTGATGCTGACAATTGAGATATGTGAAAACAATGCTGTAAAGTGTTTTAAGTAAAAAGGTGAAAGTATTCTACACAGTAAGGAAAAATAATTTCATGTTGAAGTTGCAAAGATCTATAGTAAGAATGAGTCTTCTATCTGTGAAACTGTGAAAAGGGGAAAGAAAAAATTTGTGCGTAGCATATACATGGATCAGGAGTATATATGGATTCCTTCATGTACTTTAGATATTGGAGGAATTTCCACACAAACCCTGCACACAGATGTTTATGGCAATTTTATTTACAATTACTAAACTTGGAAGCAACCAAGATGTCCTTCAATAGGTGAATGGATAAATAAACTGTGGTACATCCCAACAATGGAATATTATTCAGTGCTAAAAATAAATGAGCTATCAAGTCATGAAAAGACACGGAGGAAACTTAAATGCATATAGCCATAGGCATATAGTGAAAAAAGTTCATCTGAAAAGGCTACATAGTATATGAGTCCAACTATATGACATTATGGAAAAGGCAAATACACCTAAAGGATCAGTGGTTACCAAGGGTTGGGGGAAAGGAGGAATAAATAGGTAAAGCATAGAGAATCTTCAGGGAAATTAAAATACTCTATGTAATTCTATAATGGTAGATAAACATTATTAAGAACATGTCCAAACTCACAGAAAGTAGAACAACGAGAGTGAGCCCTAATAAAAACTATAGACTTTGGATGATAATGATGTTTTACTTTAAGTTCATAAATTGTAACTAATGTACCACTCTAGTGGGGGAGGTTGATAATAAGGAGGTTTGCATATGTGAAGAAGGACTATGTGGGTTATCTCTGTACTTTCCTCTCGATGTTGCTGTGAAGCTAAAATTACACTTAAAAATGTAAAATCTTAAAATCCAATGAATTACTATATGGCCTGTTTTATTGTTTAAATTACAGTTGCAGCATTGAAATTACGTTGTTATTATGTTCTATGAAAATACTTGCCTTTATCTGATTAAGATAAAAATAAATTATACTCAGTACATTATCTCAGATCACATTTATTTGTTTGCTTTCAATCAAGCAGTTATCCTAATTGTCAATTTCCTTTGTTATTAGAACATATAGTCTGTCAACATCTTTTAATTCAGGTTTTGTAGTCTGCTGGGATAAAATTTCATAGTCTGCTGTGATATTATTTGAATTATATTTACTTAGTTATTTTGTAATGTATATAGTACAGGTAGAAATGTAAATGATTTATAGCTATTTAAGAATGCAATAAATGGTCTTCATTTTACACAATTTTAGTTTGAATTATTAAAGATTTAGTGCATTAAAATGTAGGGCTGATAAAAATATATACATATATAATCCAAATATATGTTACCTTACATATAGTTATAATATGTAGTATGTATAGATTATATTATATATCCAAAAAGATATTGTTTTCTTTGAAAATGGTGGTTTTCTTAAGAGAGGTAGTCAAACACATTTTCTGAAACCTCAATTATCTATAAATTTTGTTTGTAGGCAATTTCAGTTACATTGTTGGAAGCATGTTATTTATTTGTTATGGTGGAGGGGTGTATTCTTAAGATTTTAAAATTGTAAAAGTTTTTACAAGTTGTACCAACATGCCACATTTTATGTGCTTTTTCTAAGATACAAATTATTTTCTTTTTTCTACCACTGTACCTTACAACGGTTTGGTAATGACTTACTATAAGCCAAAAGAAAACTTTGAGTTGTTTTTTTTTTTATTTTTCAGCATTCTACATATTCATTTAATATAGATTCATTCATTTTATAATTCTTTGTCAATTATTTCCATAAAAATGTACACATATATGCAGACATTTGATAACTGATGGGATTATAATATTTTGGAGGCAACTGTAGTGCTTACGTCTGGTGGTAGTGATTTGGATGTGTATGTACATTGTTTGTTTTGAAAATATTTTCAGAGAGCCAGACATTTGTGACCAATGAAAAAATATTAGATAATTTTGGACTTACAAAATTTTCTATTTTATGTTCTTTGTCAACCATTTACTTTGTGTAATACGTAGGGTTTACAAGTATAATTGATTCTCCCTTTATGAAACCCTGAAATTTACAATAAATTATATAAACCTCAGAAGAAATTATACTGGCTAAATACATAACCATTTTTAGGCTCTAGGAGGTGTTGAATGTTCTGTAAGTTGTACTTTATTATTGAATAAGGCCCATTAGAAGATAAACTATTTTAAACAATACAATTGACTGAAGCATGTTTTTAATATGTGATTTTGTAGCACCAATGTAAAAGATATTTCACATTAGCTCATTCAATAAATACTATTTTTCTCCTTTTATAAATTTCTGCATTTTTTTTCCACAAAGAGATAAATGTGCTTGCTGGTGCAATACAGTTCATTACAAAGAAGAAAGGAAAGAATCATCCTGATAAGTTTTCCAGAAAATTTATCTTCTACTTAATTAAACTATGATTGCAACTATGTTACAAATTTATTTGTAAAGAAAACTCTCATGTCCTCTAGACATGAGAAGATATGTAGCTTTCTTTCAAGAAACTAGAAAATATATAGCTTTCTTTCAAGCAACTATGTTAAACAGAGTAGTTTGGAATTTGTTATGTTTGACAACCAGTGGGAAAGGAAGTTCAATCTTGTCATTCAAGTCATTGGCAATCAAAAGGCAAATAATGTCTTCAACCAGTCATGGAAAATGTGGTCACCTCTGATTTCTTTCAGCAGTATTTTATAATTCTCATTGTAGAGGTCTTTTGATCAGCTATATTCCTAGGTATTTTCTTTTTGTGGCTATTCTGAAGGGGATTGTGTTTTGATTAGGCTCTCAGCTTGGATGTTGTCTGTGTATAGAAATGTTACTAGTTTTCGTACACTGATTTTTTTTAGTTTTTATTTTTTTTTATACTTTAAGTTCTCGGATACATGTGCAGAATGTGCAGGTTTGTTACTTAGGTATACATGTGCTATGGTGGTTTGCTGCACCCATCAACCCTTCATCTACATTAGGCATTTCTCCTAATGCTATCCCTCTCCTTGCCCCGCAACCCCCAACAGGCCCCAATGTGTGACGCTCCCTTCTCTATGCCCATATGTTCTCATTGTTTAACTCCCACTTGTGAGTGAGATCATGTGGTGTTTGGTTTTCTGTTCTTGCATTAGTTTGCTGTGAATGATGGTTTCCAGCTTCATCCATGTCCCTGAAAAGGGCATGAACTTGTCCTTTTTTATGGCTGCATAGTATTCCATGGTGTATGTGTGCCACATTTTCTTTATACGGTCTATGATTGACTGGCATTTGGGTTGGTTCCAAGTCTTTGCTATTGTGAACAGTGCTGCAATAAACATACGTGTGCATGTGTCTTTATAGTAGAATGATTTATAATCCTTTGGGTATATACCTAGTGATGAAATTGCTGGGTCAAATGGTATTTCCAGATTTAGATCCTTGAGGAATCACCACACTGTCTTCCACAATGGTCGAACTAATTTACACTCCCACCAACAGCGTAAAAGCATTCCTATTTCTCCATATCCTCTCCAGCATCTGTTGTTTCCTGACTTTTTAATGATTGCCATTCTAACTGCCGTGAGATGTTATCTCATTGTGGTTTTGATTTGCATTTCTCTAATGATCAGTGATGATGAAGTTTTTTTCATATGTTTATTGGCTGCATAAATGTCTTCTTTTAAGATTTGTCTGTTCATACCCTTTGTCCACTCTTTGATGGAGTTGTTCATTTTTTTCTTGTAAATTTATTTAAGTATCTTGTAGATTCTGGATATTAGCCCTTTGTCAGATGGATAGATTGCAAAATTTTTCTCCCATTCTGTAGGTTGCCTGTTCACCCTAATGATAGTTTCTTTTGCTTGTGCACTGATTTTTTATTCTATAACTTTGATGAATTTGTTTTTCAGATCAAGGAGCTTTTGGGTAGAGATTATGTGGTTTTCTAGATACAGAATCATATCTTCTGCAAACAAGGATAGTTTGACTTCCTCTCTTCCTGTTTGGATGACTTTTGTTTCTTTCTTGTACCTAATTGTTCTGGCTAGGGCTTCCAGTACTTAGGTTGAACAGGAGTGGTAAGAGAGGGCATTCTTGTCTTGTTCTGGTTTTCAGGGGGAATGCTTCCAGCTTTTGTCCATTCAGTATGACGTTGGCTGTGGGTTTGTCACAGATGGCTCTTATTATTTTGAAGTATGTTCCTTCAGTGTCTAATTTATTGAGAGATTTTAACATGACGGGATATTTAATTTTATAAAATTATTTTCTGCATCCATTGAGATGATCATGTAGGTTTTGTTTTTAGTTCATATTTATTAATTTGTGTATGTTGAACCAACATTGCATTGCAGGTATAAAGCCTACTTGATTGTGGTGGATTAGCTTTTTGATCTGATCTGTTGCTGGATCTGGTTTGCTAGTATTTTATTGAGGATTTTTGCATCTGTGTTTATCAAGGGTATTGGCCTGAAATTTTCTATTTTTATTGTGTCTCTGCCATGTTTTGCTATCAGAATGATACCAGATTCATAGAATTAGTTAAGAAAGAGTTCCTCCTCCTTTCTGTCATTTCTCTCTGTGCTATGTGCTCCCCTGCTTCCCTAATAAATCCCGACATGGTTTCTCAGATGATCTGCCTGCAGGGTCAGTGTTCATTAGCCCTTCTGTTTCCTCTCCATGAGAGCTATGCACATGAGCTGCTTGTAGTATGTCATCTTAACACCACCCCCCACCGACGTCTGTATGCATTAATAGTTTTTATAGCCATTCCTTTTCTACCCATCTACACAATGCTGCATTCTTCCCTTCTTATCACAGGCAAGGATCCCTAAATAGCACATCATTCCAGTCTTCATCTCAGTGTCCTCTTCTAAAGAACTTTAGCTATGAGTGATCTAAGACAATAATATATTAATAAGGAACTGAAGGAGAAAAACACAACAAGTGAATTTTGGAGAAAAACTGAAAGAACATATTGTCATGGAAATTGAGAGAGTAAGAATGCAAGAAATAGAACATTTTGCCAAATGGTGACACATGAAAAATAAGGTGAGGAATAAAAAATGTCCATTGGATAATTTACCTAGAGGTTTTGTGGACAAGCGTAAGAATATTTTCAGTGAAATGTTGGTGGCAGAAACCAGGTTTGCCTAAGTAGGATTGGGAAGGTCCGGAGGAAGAAGAATAATGAGCACAGATCACTCAGGAAGTCTGGCTGTGAATGAATCCGGAGAGATGGAGAGCATAGTCCCATGAATTGGGGCAGGAATGAGTTTTATGTACTGAAGAGAGAAAGTGGACAACTTTAAAATACTGAAGTGAAGGAACTGAGGAATGAGAAAGTCAAAGAGAGGGCAGTAGGACTTGTTCTTCATTGAATCTAAACACCACATGTTCTTACTCATAGGTGGGAATTGAACAGTGAGAACACATGGACACAGGAAGGGGAACATCACACACTGGGGACTGTTGTGGGGTGGGGAGAGGGGGGAGGGATAGCATTAGAAGATATACCTAATGCTAAATGACGAGTTAATGGGTGCAGCACACCAACATGGCATATGTATACATATGTAACAAACCTGCGTGTTGTGCACATGTACCCTAAAACTTAAAGTATAATAATAATAAAATAAAAAAACAAACAAAAAAAGAAATATGTGTCATGTACAGGCTTTAGTTGTGCTTATATCAAGTAGGTTCTTGATAAATGCCTGCTGAATGAATGAAAAAAAAGACACTCTCTTCATGTTGAACAGAAAAATTTCAGTGAAATAAAGAAAAGTCCCACAGCTATGAACTGCAGAACTACAATTTGAACTCGAGCAGTCTGGCTCTTGTCTTTTTTCAGTACCACAAAACATTGATCCTCAATAAGACAATGGAGATCACTGGAGATTTAATCACAGAGAAGTTGCGTTATTTAAAAAATCCATTGAACTGATGTACACTTTGAAGCCAGAGAAAACCTTTAAATGAAACTACAGCAATGAAGCAATTTATTTTATAGTTATTTTATTGATTAACAAAATATATGCCACCAAAATGTTAACAGCCCTGTGCATTTTTTTAAGGTAAAAAACAATTATTAACAGCCTTGTCCTTTTTTTTTTAAGGAAAAAAGTGATTATTTACTTTCTTCTGGAGAGATCATTTGTATTTATTCCTATAGGGTATAGAATAAATCATAAAACTTTGAGTCTCTGTCAAAATGATATAAGCATTATCCCTATTTTTCTAACTCTCACACATACCTTATTCTAGCATGCACAGCTGCTAAATCATTATTCCCTGCATGAGTAATAGGTGCAGATATTCTTACTGATTAATGAGGTATGGCTATATTTATAGTGGCTTCTATGTGGCAACTACACAACTATTGATGCTGTCAGGACAAGGGTACTGTGTTGTGACAATGGGATATAGAAGTCCTGGGGATGATGCTACTTGTTTGTCCTTGTTCTCTAGCATAATTATCCCTGTAAAGATCTTTAGAACTCTTCTTGCGCTAATCTCCATCCTATTTCCTACATTCCCTGCTGTAATGATCCTCATTCTGCACACACAGGATATATTGGGTAATGAATATTTTCCTTTTATCTTTGTCATATAGTATTTTATTTAGTGAATCAGATTTTTTGCTCTGTTTAAGAATGACAAACACAGCTGTTAAAAGAATCTCTTATTCATACTTATTTGGGGGACTATTTCTTGTTCTCCTGGTTTGGTGACCCTTACCAGTTTATTTGTGAAATATTTGGGGGCTTTATGATTGATTGGGTAGAAAATAAACGTAGTGTCAGGTGCAGTGGTTCACGCCTGTAATCCCAGCACTTTCAAAGGCCGACGCGGATGGATCACTTGAAGTCAGAAATTCGAGAACAGCCTGGTCAACATGGCAAAACCCTATCTCTACTAAAAATACAAAAATTAGCCAGGCGTGGTGGTGGGTGCCTGTAGTCCCAGCTACTGGGGATGCTGAAGCAGGAGAATCCCTGGAACCTGGGAGGCGGAGGTTGCTGCGAGCAGAGTTTGCACCACTGCACTCTAGCCTGGGTCACAGAGTGAGACTCTATCTCAAAAAAAAAAAAAAAAAAAAAAAATGGGGGGGGGAATATAAACTGAAGAAAATACGTAAGAAGCGAATAACTTGGGACAAGGGGCCAGTAAGTTGTGCTTGATCAGGTTATTTTCTTTTGCCTTAAGTGTATTTTGATTTAAACTCATTCTGACTTCCGTACAAGGCAACTGGGCTTACTGTTTGATTTAATTTTTGTGCTCAGATTACTGATCTGTAAAATAAAGAAAGGCCTATTAAGTATTCAACAACATACCTTGCACACAGTAGGTATATAAAATGTGCTAGTTATGTTTTGAGTTTTTGCTCACAAGGTAGTTTATGCCCCTCAAGAGAGGGAAGTAGAACTTCTTCTTCCTTGCATCTTCTACCCATACAAATACGTGTCCTGTATCGGCCTAAGTGGTGCCTTTCTCAGGTAGGTTCTTGATAAATGCCAGCCGAATTAATGAATATAGAGACACTCTCTTCATGTTATTTTGTTTTTCAGACAACTAAGGTTCAGGGCATCAATGATGTATTACATTTTCAATTTAAAAAGAAAAGAAAAACTGGCCTCTGTTTCTCTGACACTAATATTGTGGTTTTCTCTAATCAAAGTCACTTATATTGCTTACAGTTAAATTTTATATTTGTTGATCTTAAGAAATGAATTTTCCATTTGTATGATAGTATTTTGGGATTGGTAATTCAGATACTCTACAGATTGTTGCTTACGTATTATGTGTATCTTACTGAATTACGTGCCAGAGGCGATGCAGAGCATCCTAGCTTATATTCTGGAGAAGGACACACTATAACTACACCAAGCAACAAGGAAAGTCGGGAGGTGCAAATGACAGACTTGGGGTCAAGAATTGCTTTTCTCTTATTAACTATGTACCCTTGAGGAAGTCTTTCAATCTTTTTTTTTTTTTTTTTTTTTTTTTGAGGCGGAGTCTTGCTCTGTCGCTCAGGCTGGAGTGCAGTGGCGCTATCTCCGCTCATTGCAAGCTCCGCCTCCCAGGTTCACGCCATTCTGTTGCCTCAGCCTCCCGAGTAGCTGGGACTACAAGTGCCCACCGTCACGCCTGGCTAGTTTTTCGTATTTTTAGTAGAGACGGGTTTTCACTGTGTTAGCTAGGATGGTCTCGATCTCCTGACCTCGTGATCTGCCCACCTCGGCCTCCCAAAATGCTGGAATTACAGACGTGAGCCACCGCGCCCGGCCAACTTTCAATCTTCTGAGCCTCCTTTTCTCATCTCTACAGTGACAATAACAATCACTCTACAATCTGAAGTGGATTTAAATTTAAAGGAGAATTTAAAGCAGAAATGAGAAAATAAGGTGATACCACTTTGAAAACTGCTAACCACTATTTATATTGTGCTTATACTGTGGTATAGGCCGGGAATGCAATCTTGTTTTAAAGCTTTTAGAGTAGGGTGGAGCAGCATAAGACAGACCCTGACAAGCGGAACCTAGGAAAGAAAAGCAGGGCATTTGCTGTGACGTCCCTGCTCTTCCAGAAAGTCGTAATGCTACTGCCTGAAATACCCTGTGAAGAAGGTGGCCAAAATGTACTATCTTCAAGTCTACTCCACTTGAGTTGAGACAGGCAGGCTGTTGATAGCATCATATTGAGAAATTCTGAAACATATTAACAACGAAACTTTATAATAAAAAGAAGCAATCTAATCCAAGTATGTTTTGACGAAACATGGGGTGAAAACATGGCATGTGTTTCATACCATTAGAAAGCTGAGGAAATAGAAGCGAATTTAGTTCTTGTATTACTGGCATCTAGGCTTATAGCAGAAGCAGCAGCTGCTTCAGTCTGTGGGGATCCCTCTAGGGCACTGGGATTCTGCTTGGTATCCTAGTGAGCTCTTCCAACCCTGTGAGTTAATCATTTAATTCTAACCTGATCCTGGAAACCTGGCCCACTGCCTTTGACCAAACAACCACTACTTGGCAGTCATCACTTGACTTTGCTGCCTGTTGGGCAATGTTCTGTGTTATACACTTTTGATGCTATGGGCTTGGTTTGCCAACATACATACTGCTCAACATAATCTCTGAATTTGATGTCCTTGCCTCAAATGAGGATATCTATAAATTTGGCTGGCAGCACGTTCCATCTGGAGATTAAGAGTCTGTGAAAGAGGAGGAGACAGGTAATTGTCATCACTGGGTAACAAATGAACACTTTTAGGCCAAGCTAACAGTTCCCTTAGCACCATATAAAGGCTCTGAGAAAAGCTGGCCAGGTAATGATGCAAGTCACTGCACCTGAGTAGCTAGAATTTCGATGGCTTGTGAAATTATCTGAATTTCATTTAGTTTACAAAAATACTAGTTTAGTTTTATAGCTATTTCAACTTACATATTTATTAAGCTTTTTTTTTTAAGTTCTTGTGTTTACGGATGTCTAAGGAGACTTGCTTGGATCTAGAAATCCACAAAGAAAAACAGAAATGTGCATAAGGAAAAAAATCTTATATAGGAAAACTATTAGTTTATTCTCTGAGTTAATTGGAGAAAGGATATAGCATAGTGGTTACAAGTACAAACTCTGGAACCAGATTTCATGTGGATGAATCCTGGCTCTACAACTCACAACTTGTGTGACTTTATCAAATTGTGTAACCTTTTAAAAAACTCTCCTCTCTTCATCTGTAAAATGATCATAAAAATAATTCGAAAGCCATGGGGTTATTGGGAAAATCTGAGCCCAGACAGGCTGGTGCCCAGCTTCCTTCCTCTCTGCTGTATGTGCTCCCCCACAGCCCTAAAGTATCCCAACGTGATTTATCAGATGATCGACCTGCAGGGTCAGTGTTCGCCAGCCCTTTCTTGTCCTCTCCATGAGAGCTGTGCACAGGTGCTCTTGAAAAGTGGCTATAATGAATAGATCAAGCATCATGTACATCCAAAATTAATAAAATATCTATATTTTCAGGTGTATGTAGTATTCTGGTATTCTTATTTTGAATATAGTCAAGAAATATGACTTTAAAAAAAAAAAAGGATACAATATCTAGAAAGGCCTTAAATGATGGTGCCTCAGAGGAGACTTTGAGGAGCCAAAAATTTTTAATGACTTCCTTTGTCAAGCAGCTTATTCATTTTATTTCTTTTTCATCTCTGTTAAGATGTTTGATGGTATCATATTATTGCTGAGACAAATCCTCCCACAAGTATAGTATAATACGTTCCTTTTACATAAATAAAGAAGCATCACATCTCTTCATTTTTATTTATCACTTTTTTAAAAGTCTATGTTGTTAAGTTACATACTCTTTTGAACAGCTTTACCAGTGTCAGACTGTTTTCTATGCATAATAATTATGTAAGTTAGGAGTAGACCAGGCAAGATTAGATAGTAGTGCTTTTCAAACTTTTCATCTAATAAAATTTGTCTATCCACAGAGCTGGGATTTAATTTAGAATAGCTACCCTAAAGCCTCAAGATGTTTTGAAATTCCTATTTTAACCTAAAACAACACATGATATATGTGTTCTTGTAAGTAATATATTCATTCTGATTTAACATATAGATATTTAAATTACTTGGTTAAATTATTGACCTCTACATCCAAAAGCTGGGATATAATCAATGCTTTATGATGATGAGCTATATTTATGCTGTGGCTTTGACAACCCTTAGCACAAGACTAAATATCTAGGAGAAAAAACACACAATGAGTGAACCGTCTAAGGCTACTTTTCTTTTATCTCCTATCTTTCATTTGCTTTCTGTTGATTCTCCTGTCACTATGGTATTCCATTCCTACTTGTTCATTCTCTGCAGTGACCACCTTCCATACCTAGCCTTTCTGTTTCTCCTAACACTGACAGTTCATAACACTGATGTCACCTAAAGGAAAAAGAAGATGCTAACCAACCAGTGAACGTTGAAGTGTTTAAAACTCAGTGTTCATTTGAACTACTAAACCTCTCAGCGGTGTTTACATTTTCAAAGAAAGTTGCTAAAGCCAGTCTTACATATAAATGCAAATTTTACCTTGAGTATTTCAATCTACTAAATATGATAACTGTGTGTTTTATGGGTGCTATGGTTTGAATGTTTATTCCTTCAAAAACTCATGTAGAAATAAGGTGGGAGTCTTTAAGAGGTGATTGGATCATGAGAGCTTTGTCCTTATGAATTTATTAATTTATACATAGATTAATGGGTTTTCACAGGAGTAGAATTAGTGGTTTTATAAAAGAAGAAACAGAGACCTGGGCTAGCATGTGTATCTCTCTTGCCATGTGATGCTCTGTGCCACCTCTGGACTCTGCAGAGTCACCAGCAAGAAGGCCATCACTAGATGTTCCCCATTGACCTTGAACTTCCCAGCCTGTAGAACTGTAAGAAATAAATTTCTTTATAAATTATAAAGTTTCAGGTAGTCTGTTTTAAGCAACAGAAAATCAATGAAGATAGAAAGTTGGTACTGGGAGTGGGATGTTGCTGATAATAAACACCTCAAAATGTCAGAGCAGTTTTAGGACTGGGTAATGGGCAGAGGTGGAAAGAATTGGAGAAGTGGGCTAGAAAAGTTCTAGACTCTGAATAGGTCTTAGAAGACAATAAGGATTGGGAAAGTTTAGAATTCCTTAGAGCTTGATTAAGTAGTCATGACGAGAACACTGATAAAAATATAGACAGCTAAAGTTATTCTGACAAGGATTCAGATAAACTGAGAAAAAAGTAAAGGACATTTTCTAGAAACTAAAGTAAAGGCTATTCTTGTTATAAGTTGGCAATTAACTTGACTAAACTGTGTCTATACCCAAGGGCTTTGTGGAAGACCCAACTTGTGCATGATGAACTAGGGTATCTGGCAGAAGAAATTTCTAAACAAAATGTAGGAGGAGCTGCATGGTTACTTTTGGCCACTTACTGAGATTTGATAACAAAGGAATAATTTAAAGACATAATTTATAATCAAAAGGGAAGCAGAGCAAAGAGATTTGGAAAGCTGTCATCCTGACCAAGAGAGTGAAAAAGTATGTTTAGGAGAGAAAACGAAGGATGTAGCACAGTGACATTTTGGTAAAGAGATTAACAGATTAACATAAATAGAAGGGAACCAGATGCTACTTCTCAAGAAAATGGAAGACCCAGAAAGCATTTTAGAGATCTTCTAGACTGCCCCTCCCATTATGGGCCCAGTGGCCTTCAAGGGAACAATGATTTAGGAGGAGAGGCCCAAGATATGCTCCACAGGTTTGCTGCTCAGGACTGCCTCCAGATTCTGCTCTCCAAATTCTAGTGCTGTACTTCTTGACTACCCCAGTTATGGCTCAAGCAGTGCTTGGTATAGATCAACCCATCACTCAGAAAGATCCAAGCCATAAGCCTTGGCAGCATTCAGGTGGTGCTACTATGTAGGTTTTGCAGCCTCCACCAAGATTTCAAGAATGTCACTGAAAGCCTGGGGCCCCAGACAGAGACTTGTTGCAGGGGTGATGCCACTGCAAAGCCTCCAAAGAGCCAAGTATTGTGGTAATGGAGCTGTTACATAATGCCCACGAGGGCGATGCCTAAGAGAACCAACAAAATAAGACCTCCAAAGAGTTCCAACTAGAGTAATGCCTAAAGGAACTGTAGGAACAGACATGCCCACTGTAACCCCAGTACTGTGGAGTCACTGGAAGCATGCAACACTCACCTGGGAAAGCTTCAGGCACTGGACTCCAACCTGTATGGGCAGCCATATGAGTTGCACCCAGTAAAGGAATAGAGATTGTGCTGACTGAGGCCTTGGGAGCCAAATTCCCACCCCATTCTGTCCAGGAAGTGGTACATGGAGTCAAAATATATTATTTTCCAGCTTTAAGATTTAATGCCTGTCCTTCTGGGTTCCAGATTTTCTTTCTTTTTGCCTATTTCTCCCTTTTGAAATGGGAATATTTGTTTTATGCCTGTACCACCATTGTATACTGGGAATAGATAACTTGCTTTAATTACACAGATTAAAGATGAGATAAGGTACACAGATGAGACTCGGAACTTCAGACTTTTGATTTGGTGCTGGAATTAATTGAGACACTGGGGCAACGGGGATTGAATAAATGTATTTGTATGTGAAAAGGTCATGAGTTTTGGGAGGCCAGGGGCAGAATGCTATAGTTTGAGTGTTTCCTCAAAAACTCATGTTGAAGTTTAATCCCAAGGGTGGCAATATTGAGAGATGGGGCTTTTAAGAGGTGACTGGGTTATGAATGAATTAATCTGTTCATGGATTAATAAATAATGGAGAAATGTTGGGCAAACCACCATGGCACACATTTACCTGTGTAAGAAACCTGCACATTCTGCACATGTATCCCAGAACTTAAAATAAAATAAAAAATTTAAAATAAATAATTGGGAAACAGATTATCACAGGAGTGGCATTAGTGTCTTTATCAGAGAAGAAAGAGGTACCTGATTAGCACACTCAGCCCCTCTCTATGTGATGCCCTGAGCCACCTCTCAACTGTGCAGAGTTCCTGTCAGCAAAAAGGTCCTCACCAGATGTGCCCCTTAACTTTGGCCTTTCCAGCCTCCAAATCTATACAAGTAGAATTTATTTATAAATTATCCTGCTTTAGGTACTCTATTATAAACAACAGAAACTGGCCTAAGACAGTGAAGCAGGTATATAATCCTAGCTTCCCATGTCCATCTATCCTACACCCATTGCCTGTTCTCTCTCCCCTCTTTTACCCACATACCTCCCTACTTTTCTCTCATATTAAGTGAAGACTCTACCATAGAGGTGTAGCTATACACAGAAATTGAATTTTATTACCTTAACAAGTAAATGGAAATATAGAAAGGAATTCTCCAAAGATTAGCTCCAAGATAGGTTTTTATAGCTGTATAAAGACTATTTTTGGTAAGAAAAATGAGCACAATTCAAATTCAAATGAAGTTAATAATTATTTCCCTATAACCTTCCCCAAAAATTTAGTAGGAAATTAAGTAGCATTATAAATAGGGTTATTCCTGATTGAGAGAATCTTTGTTTGACACTAGAAATATTCAAAATAGAGGGAAGCGATTCTGACTACCTTAGAGAAGTGATGATCACTATCATTATTTTGCCAATATAATTATCATGATTTTTAAAAAGTGCCTGTAAGTTTTTTGAATAGTTCCCAAATACATAAACTTAGAAGTAGAGATGTATAATTTTTAAATGCCTCATCTAATATTTTCCAGGAACTGCTATTGTTTGTCGAGTTAGATTTATTCTTCCCAAATCACCCCAAGCAAAACCACCTAGTCACAGCGTACCTTCTGGGCTACTATTGGGCTTATTTTTATTTCATTCAGAAATTGTTTAGCTGGGCTCAATTGTGATCTGTATCACTGTGTTTGTTGCTAATTTATCCAATCATTAATTTTCTTCTTATTTTAATTGTTATTTTCTGTAGGGGTTTGTATTGTATAACAATAAATTTGTAAAACCTATTTCTGCATATTCTTTATCACTTTAATTTTTAAGAACTAGGTCTGGGTTCAAACTGAAAGTTTGTTTAGGTAGGATTAAGGTTATATAAATAAAAATTTATTTTGAATTGAAGTATTATTCATCACAATATGTTAATATAGAGATGATGAAATCACATTTTTTAAAAATTTTGTTTATTATTGTGAGTCCTGCATCTAAACAAATCAAATAATTTCAATCAGTTACTCAAGTTTTGCTGGACATGTGGTACAGAGACTGGCATAAAATAGGTCAATCTGTATATATTTTGTTTAAAAGTAATCATGAGCTGTAAAAATATATCAATTACATAAATTTGAAAGCAAGTGTTTTTTCCTAAATTGTTCATGTTTAAGAGCCCTTAGAGCAAAAGGAAAGTAAAATAAGGTGGGGTTAAGATGAAAAGAGTTGAATTCTAAATTATTCTACAATGAAATTCTGTGATTGTGCAGTTTCAGTAAATATCAGAACATTGTCATTTGTTTTTGATGATATTTTGCTTGCTTTATAACTGCTTAAAATCTCAGCACTCAAAAGTACAGTATTTCTGTTGGAAATTTGCTTCTCGACTTTATTTCTTATTATTTCTGTTACATAGATTTTTTTCAAGGGTATGTTATTCTCCTAAGTTACGTTTTGTAATTCTCAACATGTTATCAACATAATGGATATTCAGTTTTTATTTTCTCCTCATAAAAGACATTTAAAATAATTTAGTTTGAATATCATAAATTTAACTTTTCAAGTTTCACCTATATTTAAATTCTCTAGGAAATGATAATTTATAAGTTTAAAAATATTCTTCTTTTCATGTTTGTTTCATAAATTCATTTTATTCAGGTTTTATAGCTTGACTATTTTCATAATCATATTAGCAAGAACTGAGACACCAAAACTCCATGTTTTATTTTTTACAAATAGGAAAAAAAATATCTTTTCATGCAGAGTAAATTTTTTTTTGCTCATACTAGGCTTTAGAAACTAAAATAAACACATCACTGATTTTGTGTCATTTTCTTCTAGACAAGAAAGCAGTGAGCAATTAACATGGCAGGAAGATTTAACAGTTACTCTTTAGACAAGAAAACAAGTCGTAAGTTAAGAGGCTTCATTTCTAATGAATAAGCACATGTCCAGCATCCTGTAAAGTTTTATTTTCAAAATTTAAAATTAGTATGATGATTTGAAAACTACCATTTTTCACTAATACTCATAAAGAAAGAGTTTGTGATACCTTGCTTTTCTAAAATTATTTCAAATGTGGCCACAATTTAAATGCAATTTATATGCAATTTAAATTGTGGCCACATTTGAAATAATTTTAGAAAAGCAAGGTGTGTGTGTGTGTGTGTGTATATGTATGTGTGTGTGTGTATATATATATATATATTTGCTCTCTATATATACCTTGCTATATATACACCTTGCTAGCTAGTATCTGTGTGTGTATATACATACACATATGGAGAGATTCATGTGTTGCTTAATGATTGGAATGTATTCTGAGAAATGCATTGTTAGGCAATTTCACTATTGTGTGAACATCATAGAGTGTACTTACACAAATCTAGGTGGTATAGCCTACTCACACCTAAGGCTATATGGTATAGCCTACTTTTTTTTGGCTGAAAATCTGTACAGAATGCTGTTATACTGAATTCTGTAGGCAATTTTAACACAATGGTATTTGTGTATCTAAACATATTTAAACATAGAAAAGGTACAGGAAAAATATAATGTAAGAAATAAAAAACAGTATACCTGTATAGGGCACTTAACCATAAATAAAGCTTACAGGGCTCGAAGTTGCCCTGGATGTGAGTGGTAAGTGAATGGGAAGGGGGAGGACATCAATGTATAGTACTGTAGACTTTATGAACACTGAACACTTAGGCTACATTACATTTATAAAAACATGATTTTTCTTCAAAAATAAACTTACCTTATTGTAACTTTTTCTTTCCTTTGTAAACTTTTTCAAATTTTGAGTCTTTTGTAATGATACTTAGCTTAAAATACAAACACATCATACATTGTATAAAAATATTTTCTTCATTTATATTCTATAAACTTTTAACATTTTTAATATTTTTAATTTTTTAATTTTAAAACTTTAAAAAAAAAAACTAAGACAAACACACACATTAGCCTAAGCCTACAATGGATCAAGATTATCAATCACTGTCTCCACCTCCATATCTTGTCCCACTAGACGGTCTTCAGGGGCAATAACATGCATGGAGCTGTCATCTTCTATGACAACAATTCTTTCTTCTGGAAAACCTCCTGAAGGACCTGTCTGAGGCACTTAGAGTTGTCACTTTTTTTCAGAAATATATCCATTGTGGTTTGCTTGGTTTGTTTCTTTTTTCTATCATAGATTTGCTTAAAAGCAGATAATGCTTCACTAACATTCCTCTCTATTAATGAAAACCTTTTGATGTTGGGGTCCATGTTTTTACACTTTTTAAGGAGCTTGTTGAGGTCTCTAAAAGCTTCTGCTAAACCCTTCACTGTGAATGTTCATGGAGAGTGTTCTTTATATTCTGCAGTTTCCACTTCTCTTGACTCTTCTTCAGCAGTTGCATTCTTTTTTCAGTTTCAACCACTCCTTACTAGTCATTTCCTCAGGAACCACCTCTAGGAACTCCTCAGTGTCATCCTCATGCACACCAGGTTAAAGTTGTTTTCCATTTTAACCACAATCTTGCTAATGTTTGCAACCTTCGCATCCTTGGCAAATCCTTCAAATTCATGGATAAACCTCTGGAGTATCTTTTACCAGATGCCATTCATACACTCCTTGGTAACATTGCCCCAAGCCCAAAGAATTTTCTTAATACAGTCATAGATGTTGTAATCCTTCCAAGATTTCATGTGTCTTCTCAGAATCTTCCTCAATTGCAGCAATATCTTGGGCAAAGGTCTTCCTCCAGTAGTAGGCCTTAAAAGCCGCTATACCTCCTACCTGTAATCAAATAGTTTAGCTTCAAAATGCACTTTAAAACTTTGTTTTTCCTTTTTTGCTTTCAGCTTTGAAACATACGTTTAAAACTTTGTTTCTCTCCATTTCCCACCAGACACCCCCTTACACCATCCACATTTATCTGATTATATGCTCACTTAGAAATTCTGGGGGCTAATTTTGAAACAAACCAGGCATAGAGACCCAGCTGAAGAATTTTCCTGCTTAGGGGTTGTTATGAAGAGTTAGTCCACCACTACCAGGCCGATGTCGTGATGACACAAACGGGAGCTCTGGATAGGCAATTACTCAAGATAACTATTGGGACAAGACACACAGACGTACACCCTCCTGCACCACTCCCACATATTTTCACACCAAGTTTTCCTTCGTAAACCTTCTCAGTAAGCTCAGAAGGCTGAGATAGTTTCTTGGAGATGTGAGCCCAGCTATCTCCCATCTGCTAGCATTTGGTTAAAGCTTCTTTCTTTTCGCTACTCCTTGCTTCTCATGTTTTTGTCCAGACTTGAAAGGGTTACAACCCATTGTTTGGATCAAAGAGGTGGTGCTTGAAGAAAGCAACATACTTTGATATTGGGACAATGGTCATGAATGAAAGAAGAATGTGCAGCAGCATTGCTAACAATAAACAAAATCTTGAAAGATAAGTTATTCTCCAAATAGTATTTCTCTATTTTGCTGGCATAGGAAATTTAGGAGGGCATCTTGGAAGAGGAGTTCACCATTCACGACTGCTTATTGGTCTTGGAGTATATTGGCAGTGTGTTTACTGATACTCTGAAAGATCCTGGAATTCGCACTGTGTCAGATCACAAACAGTTGCAATTTACAGTTATAACATTGCCCCCAAGGAAGACTGTTACCTTGTCCTTAAAGGCCTTGAAACCTGGCATTCATTTGCCTCCTTTGGGATGAAAGTCTTTTCAGGAAATTATTTCTAGAATATGGATATTTCATCCATATTGAAGATTTTTCAGCTGGGCGCGGTGGCTGATGCCTGTAATCCCAGCACTTTGGGAGGCCAAGGCGGGCGGATCGCGAGGTCAGGAGATCGAGACCATCCTGGCTAACACAGTGAAACCCCGTCTCTACTAAAACAAAAAATTAGCTGGGCGTGGTGGCAGGTGCCTGTAGTCCCAGCTACTCGGGAGGCTGAGGCAGGAGAATGGCGTGAACCCGGAGGCGGAGCTTGCAGTGAGCCGGAGCTTGCAGCCAGCCGAGATCGCGCCACTGCACTCCAGCCTGGGCGACAGAGCGAGACTCTGTCTCAAAAAAAAACAAAAAAACAAAAAAAGAATTTTCTCTTGCAAGTAATTTTCCTCCACAATCAGCTTATCTAGAGTTTCCAAAAATTCTTCAGCTGCCTTCCTATCAGCACTTTCAGACTCACCACTCAACTTCACATTATCTAATAAATAACAGTTCTTGAAACTTTTAAACCACCCAGAGCTGCCAGTAAATTCAACATCATAGTTGGGTCCAGCCTCTACTTACAACATCACAAACCAACATTTTGCTTTGGCTATCATGGTGCTGAGAGGGTTAAACATCTGCATCTTGTCTTCAATCCAGACCCATAGAAGTTTATGCATATCTGATAAAGCCCTACCCAAATTTTTGTTGGTCTAGTTTCTTCACTAAAGCAGATCTTTTAACAGCTTCTGTCACCTTGTTCTTTGAGATTGTAGCTATGGTGGAATGGGACATGCTTGACTGATGAACAATAACCATCACTGATTTTCCAGTTTCCTAGTCCTTAATCACTTTTAATTTTGTTTCCAGTTCAATCACTTGATGTGGCTTCTTACTGGCAACATTAACAGTGACTTTGTATGCTTAGGGGTCATGACGAACAAAATACCAAGAAATTAAATCAAGCGCAGAGAAACTGATGCAGTCAGGAGATATGGTAGCCCAAGATGTATGAGGCTGCTGCAAGCCTAACACAACATACAGTTTTATAGTAAATATATTTATTTTAATAAATAGAAGGAGTAAACTATCAAATAATAAAATTACAGTATAGTAAATACATAAACCGTTAACATAGTTGTTTACTATCATTATCAAGTATTATGTACTTATATTATTTACAAATAATTGTATGTGCCAGACTTTTATATGACTGGTGGTGCAGTAGGTGTTTTTATATCAGTATCACTACAAATACATGAGTAAGTAGATACAGACACATATTTAAGATGAGCATTATACATATACAATGAGGGCATAGATATTTTGTATTCCCAAATTATATTAAGCTATGCTTCAAATACAAACTATTATATCTCATATATATTTCATATGTATAAGCTATAGTCTAAATATATGTTATTTATATATTAATATTTTATACACAATATATCATCTCTATATTAATATATTTATTGATACATATGTCTATATATAAATATACAATACATTTATATATTATATTAATATATTTTATATATTGATATATGAATGTATGTATATATGCACATTGTTATTTGGTGCACCTAAATTATATTGCATTTCATTTCAAACATAACCTATACTTCAAGTACATATGTGATAATCCATATTTAGAATATGGATTTATGAATCCATATTCATATTTTTAATATTTTTACATATATTTTTCAATTGTATACTATATTTCAAGTGTATATGTACACATACATGTATTACACATTTCTGTCTATATACACATAGAGACACATACATATATGTTCTTACAAATCTGGGTATTCTTTGGAATTCTTGTAAATTTATTTGCCATGCCAAATTTAGTTTAAATTACAGATATGCTTCTGGGTTATTTCTATTAAATGTGGGTACTTGACCAGGATGATTTAAACATACTATTAAAGAAAGGGAATCTATAAATGATTTGTTGAGAACTACATGAAAAACATTCCGTGAGAAGCAATAATTCAAGAAATCAAAGACACGAAAGTGACTGTTAATAGTTTTTTCCTAAGTATTCTAATCAAAGTTTAGAGTAAATGATAGCTTTTCCTGATTAAAAAAATAATATTTCTTAATATTTACAATTATCCAATATTGTACCTCAACAGTCTTTTTATTTCCCCTTCCCTTAGACTTGATTTATTTAAAATATCTTCATTTTTATTACATAAAATTAGCATTCCAAAATTAAATGATTAAATATAAAGCCTCATGGTAAAATCTTGATTGTATGATAATGTGGGTTATTAATATACACATTAATTTTTCTTATATTTCCACTTCCAGAGGATCTTTGCTAGTCATATAAAAAGTCTGATCCTTTAAATTATCACTTAGAACTCAAAGAAGTATATTTTTACTCGAGTGAAAGAGTTTTATTTTTCTGTAATTATTTCTAAAACTGGGCATTTTATTTTTCTCTCAAAGTTAGAAAGGTAAACATTTTTGCTTGGAGAGTAATGAAAGTTGGAAACTAGGAAGAAAATGAAGCCAAAGATAATTTCTCTATTAGACACAGTGGGCACAGTGTGTCCAGAGCTCATGAAACTTCTAGAGAGTACAGAAAATGATTTAATTTATTTGTTTATCAGAAAAGCATATTTTATTTTGGAGAAAATAGTTTAATATATTAATCTATTCAGGTTTATATCAACATAGCTGTAAAGTTAAATGGCCTACAAATGTCATAGTGTAGGCTTTGGTGAAGTCCATGCAGTAGAGTGTAATCAGTATATGTGAACAAATAGGAATTAGATGATAGGGGGTTACTGTCTCAGAACTACTTTTCTTGGGAACAGAGTAAAATGCATAACAAGATTTATCCCATGAGTATATCATGAACATTTGTAAGTCTACAATGGTGGCTGAGTGAATACTTATGGCAGAAAATGCCTTCTCCTGAATGGGCTGATTTACTGAATGCTGTACAATAGATTTTCCTTGGGAGTTGGCTGGCTGCCCCCACGCCATGTCTAGGATAAAAATAATAACTGGAAAAAAAGTGATATCACATTTTTTTCTGTGTTTTCCATCCTGTAGGTTTATTAACAAATGTTATGCAACTATTTAGAGGAATCACTTTTCTTTAGTGGCTATTTTGGGTAATTTTCCCACACCTAGGTACTTCTGCCTATCAGATCTTCTTATAAAGCCATATTTTCAGGCAGAAGTGGAGTTGTTAAAAAAAAAATGAAGCACTAGAAATACACTCTTAAGTTCAGCTACAACAGAGAGTGAAATGAGAGGAAGAAAAGATCAAGAGAATTTTGGGGAAAATGTCATTTACACTCCCCTGCCCACATATTTTTTTTCTATACTCTGTGTCTTAAGTGATAATTTTAATAAAAATATCTATTTAGAATTTTTAATTTTAGTGTCATAATTGAGCAGAATTTTAGAGGGAAACTCTACTTGATAAAAATTAGACATGAATTAGACACAGTTTTTGAAGACTTGCTATGATGGCCAATTTTATGCATCAAGTTGCATAGGCTATGGTGCTGGGTTGTTTGGTCAAACATTAGTCTAGATGTTGTTGTGAAGGTATGTAGTTAGATGTAATTAATACTTAGAATAAGTAGACTTTAAAGCAGATTGATCTCCATAATGTGGGTGGGTCTCATCAAATCAGTTGAAGACCTTAAGAAAAAGACTGAGGTCGCCTGATAAAAAAGAAATTCTGCCTCAAGAGTGCAACATAGAAACCCTGACTGAGTTCCCAGCCTGCTGGCCTGTTCTGTGAATTTCAGACTAAAGACCGTAACATCAACTGTCCCTTGAATTTCCAGCCTGACAGCCTGACCCACATTTCAGAATTTCCAATTGCTATAAATGGGTAAACTACTTCATTGAAAAATCTATCTCTGTTATCTCAAATGAATGGGTAAATAGATAAATTTTAAAAATAGCTTTATTAAAATATAATTCTCATATTATACAATTCACTCATGTAAGGTATAAAATCTAATGGTTTTTAGTTTGTTTACAGAGTTATGTAACCATTACCACAATCAATTATAGAACATTTTCATCATTCCCCAAAAAACTTCATAGCCATTAATAGTCATTCCCCACCCACCACCCCCACCATGTATACTTCCTACCCCTTCTGACTCCAGGCAATCATTTATCTACTTTCTGTCTCCATTCATTTGCCTGTTCTGGACATCAAAATATATTTCTTCTATCAAACTATAATTATATATCCTTTGACCAACATCTCTCCATAACCCCTCACCAAGGACATCCTCCCTAACCACCCAAACCAATAGTAACCACCATTCTACTCTCTACTTCTATGAGATCAACATTTTTGATTCCATATATGAGTGAGATCATGGGATGTTTGTCATTCTTTTTCTTGTTTATTTCACTTAACATAATGTTCTTCGGATTCATTCATGCTGTTGCAAATGACAATATTTTATTATTTTTATGTCTTAAATACTATTCCTCCATTAATGGGCACTTATTTTGATCATTATCTTGGCTATTGTGGATAGTGCTGCAATAAACATGGGAGTGCAGATGTCTATTTGCCATATTAATTTTATTTCCTTTGGATATATATTTGGTAGTAGGATTACTAGATTATGTGATAGTTTTATTTTTAATTTTTATAGGTATTTTCATACTGCTTTTTATAATGGTGGTACTAGTTTACGTACCACCATTATGAATGGTTTCCATTTTTCCACATCCTTCTAATTTTTGTTATCTTTGTCTTTTTCAAAATAGCTATTCTAACAGGTGTGCGGTGATAGCTTAATGTGTTTTTGATTTGCATTTTCCTAATATTTAGTGATAATGAGCATTTTTTCATTTACCTGTTTGCCATTTGCATGTCTTCTTTTGAGAAATATCTATTCAGGTCATTTGCAAATTTTCAAATAGGGTTATTTGTTTTCTTGCTGTTGAGTTGTTTGAGTTCTTTATATCTTTTGAAAATTAACCTCTTATCACATATGTCCTCCCATTCTGTAGGTTGTCTCTTCACTCTCTTGATTGTTTCCTTTGCTGTACAGATAGATTGATCTTCCCTATTGTCCTTTATTGTTTCTTTTTTTCTGGAGAAAAAAGAAATCTAATACACTTGCTGCTCTGAAAAAAAAATCTATAAAAATTATCCAGTAAACACCCTCACTATACAAAAGTCAATTAATTAATTAAAAGCACAAATAATTAATATGAATTAGGGGCATTGTGAAACAACATTGGAATCTGTAAGATCAGGAGTTGGGTTTGGTTTCCAGAGCCTGATCATTAGTACCTGGCAATCAGGACCACAGAGGCAGGTAGCCAGAACAGATGGGAGCCAGAGAGTCCAGCAGACACTGAGTAGGGTGGAGGTGCTGGGGAGTGGATTCCAGCTGTAGGGTTCCTGAACTTCTGAACTTGAACTTCTTTCTTGAAGCAAAACTCTCAAATGAACTATAATGGTTCTGGGTTGAGGTTATCCTCAAGCTACTATTATTATTGTAATAAACTCATGCAGTTAATTGTTCCTATATAAATCTCATAATATACAGAAATGAACATAAAGAAATGAGCAAACAGAAAAATATTCAGACAGCTAAAAGGCCAGCAATCATAAGGAGAATCAATGAAATGTACAAGTAACAGATTTAGCCACAACAGTCTGTATATGCTGGAAAATCCTATTTTAAATATATACAATAGCTGCATACAAAATGTTTAAAGATATACTCGCAGCATTAAAATATAAGCATATACTGAGTAATAATCAGAATGAACAGACAGATGGAAAGAAAAACATTCCTGAAATAAGAAGTATAAATATGAAATATATGAAAAGTACAAGAAATCTGCCGCTAGATAGATGAAATTACACATTTGACATCATTTTAAAGAGAATTGTTGAAGAATATTTTGATGAAATGAGTCAAGCTCTGTAAAATATTTGAAGAGATCTACTCTGAGCCAAATATGAGTGACCATGGCCCATGACACAGCCCTCAGGAGGTCCCAAGAACATGTCCCCAAGATAGTCCGGGTGCAGCTTGGTTTTATACATTTGAGGGAGGCATGAGACATCAAAGAAATACATTTAGGAAATACATTGGTTTGGTCCAGAAAGGCAGGACAACTCGAAGGGAGGGAAGGGTTCCAGGCTATAGGTAAATGTAAACATTTTCTGGTTGGCAATTGGTTGGGTTTTTCTAAAGACCTGGGATCAATAGAAAGGAATGTCTAGGTTCGTAATAAGAGATTGTGGAGACCAAAGTTTTACTATGCAGATGAAGCTTCTAGCTAGCAGACTTCAGAGATAATATATTGCAAAATGTTTCTTAGCAGACTTAAAGTCTCTGTTGATGTTAATGCTGGAGAGGTATAATAAGACATGTTCGAGCCCCACTTCCCTTCATGGCCTGAACCAGTCTTTCATGTTAAGTTTTAAGAGCTCTGGCTGAGGAAGAAGTCCATTCAGATGGTTGGGGGTTCCTTAGAATTTTATTTTTGGTTTACATGTATATACACAAAGAAGTAACACAGAAAGCTGCATAGAGAGACAAGGGAATGGACAATGCAAAAGTGATAAAATACATGAACATGAATATGTATAAGCTCATAATCAGAGTCTAGGAGGAAGAGATTAGAGAAAATTTAGTAGAAGCAATATTCATAGAGGTGATGTCCAAGAATTTCCAGAACTGATTAATGATTCCACAAACACAGGAAGCATAGAATGTACCAATCAAGACAAATTTTTTAAAGAGGGTACAAAGTTTCAGTTAGTAAAGATGAATACATCCTAGAAATCTGCACATAATGGCATTTATACTGTATTGTATACTTAAAAATTTGCTTAGAGGATAG
Organism: Homo sapiens; assembly: GCF_000001405.40. Lineage (NCBI taxonomy): Eukaryota > Metazoa > Chordata > Mammalia > Primates > Hominidae > Homo > Homo sapiens. The sequence continues at coordinate 119,054,444 of NC_000007.14, forward strand.
ATATAATGTTAACTGTTCTTAACACAAATAATAATAATAGTAAAAAGAAGAGTATGAATCCTGAAAATCTGAGACTGGTATCAGGTAATTTATAAAGTTATTTTGTTGAGGTTGAGGACATGCGCCTGTGACATAGTCTCCGGAGGTCCTGATGACATGTGCCCAAGATGGTCAGAGCACATTTTGGTTTTTTACATTTTAGGGAGGCATCACACATCAATCAATATATGCAAGATGATCATTAGTTTGGTCTGGAACAGCAGGACAACTTTGAAGCAAAGGAGGGAAGACTCGAAGCAGGGAAGGGACTTCCAGGTCACAGGTAGTTAAGAGACAAATGGTTTTATTCTTTTGAGTTTTTGATTAGCCTCTTCAAAGGAGGCAATTAGATATGCATTTATCTCAGTGAGCAGAGGGGTGACTTTGAATAGAATGGGAGGCAGGCTGGCCCTAAGCAGTAGTGATTTGGAGGCCCCAAGATTTATTTTTCTTTCACATTTCCCTGCTTTTCTTTTTAAAAATCTTTTGAGGAAAATATCTTAGAAGAAAATGAGTCTCCGGTCTCAGGTTTCGTCTAATCTCTCATGGCTAGAATGGTTTAATCCTAAATGGTTAAGTACCGACTAATTAGGAAAGCTCATTTTTAGCAGATTGTGAAGTCTCATGTCCTATGAAGAGAAAATAGGGTGAGGAAAGGAGAAAAATAACAAACATAAGAACAATCCTGGAAAATTGATAAAGGCCACATTACTGTGAAGTCCATACATCAGTAGGCAGGTATGAAAGTGGGTTATGTATGTAAATAGGTTGTTGTTATTTTCTTTGGAAGTTTAAGTTGTCTAGCCAGGGCTTTATAAAAGTATAGCTTAGTTTTCAGTGATTTCACATTAGGAAAAATGAGGTTTATTTTCAGGAAAATAAAGAAGAAAAATAAGAAAAAATTTTTAGAGACTTGTATACAGGAAAAACTAGAATTCAGCTCAAACTGTAAAAAATAATAAAAATTGAAAATCATTAGAAAATACTAGACTCTAACAACGAGTGACCTATAGTTTTGAAACATAATATTTCCCTCCTCAGTTTCACATTTTTACTAAAAACAAATTATGGTAGATCTGGTTTGCTTTATCAGATTTAGCCTAATTATTTGTATATGGTGCGACAAGAATAATTATTTTTTACATTGGCATTTCAACTGGCTTTCATGGAACGGTATGCAGGTAAGACTTTTTAAAAGACAAACCCAGTCATGGATTTGTGCCATCAAATACCTGTGACTTGGGTGATCTCCTCTTGAGGTTCCAAGATAACCTTGAGGCTCCTGGTCCTGTGATAAAGTGACATTCATTACCTACCACAGGTCAGGAACCCTGTACAGGGGCTGTGTAGGCAAAGGTGTGAGGCCAGTTGTTTTTTTTTTTTTTTCCATGTGGGGCTTTAATTGGCTCTATAAGTCAAGTTTGATTGTTTAAAGGATGGTGCCTTATTTCAGTCAAAGTCTTGGTAAAATAACCAGTTTCTTCAATTGTGTCCTGTTACAAGTGAAAACAGATTGCACTTGTGCAAGTAACTGTATTGTTAGAAGTTAAGAATACTCAAAAATAGTTTTCAAATCTTGGAGAAATCAGGTAGAGAGAAACAAGTATGCTCCAAATTTTGTTCTTAAGAATATACCTTACTTAACTGCTAAAAGCTGTAAATAGCTTAAAAGAAAAGTTTTCCTGTCTCTGAAAAACTAAACAAAGGATCAGCAATATTCTAAGCAAAAAAGTTAAAAAGATTACTTTAGTCTTCTACTAGTTTAGTTTATGCAGTTAACTGCTGTTCTGCTTGATATTCATGAACATTTCAGCTCTCTATAAGAGTGCTGAATTTTTTTTCCTCTATTCTGATGTCATAGTCTCCAAAGTTATCAGAAACCTGAATTTAGGAACACATGTTAGAGTTTTATAGCTGATTATAAAACCACCTTCTAAGGAAGACCAAAACAAGACAATTGTCCAGGATGACAAAAGGTTTTAGGGCAGCCACAAAAAAGACACAATTGACAAGGAAATTTGTTACCTCTGTGGCACACAATAATTTAATATAATAATTATAATTATTCCTAATTGTATACATTAAGTCATCAGAATTATAGGAGTTTTCCATGATTTTGGAACACATACCAATAACATATTTATACAAATACAACCCAAAGAAAACCAAACACCATTTCATATTTGACATTGCTTCCTGTATAATATTTCTACAAAATAAGCCAAATGATGTCATTTTTGGACTTGAAGAAACCTCATATTTTAAAGGATTAATTAGGTCAGAAAGAGACATAATTTATGATTTGATTTTGGAAAGTTTGTCAAATATCAAAGGTTTAAAACATTTGATATCACAAAATAGGATCAGAGGTCATTGTAAAACCAGTCATTCGTTTAACCAAAGTGATAACCCAATGATTTTTTAAAAAAAGGCAAAAACCTTCATTCTTTGAGAGAGGAGTCTTATTTTCCAAACAATAAACACTAATAAAAACAGCATAAGCCCAATTACATTTATTTTTCAAAATTTTTTAACAATGTATAAAATTTTAATCTTGGCCATAAGATATAACTTCCATTAACCTTTTATAACCCTGTAGCCTTTATTAAGAAGTCAGTTAATGCTTCAATAAAATCTAGTTAATCTGACACAGGAGCTCATATGCTGGTCTTGCATCAGTGTGCCTTTGACATTCATGATTAATTTATTGAGAAACTGAATCTATGTTATCTTTCAAAAATTGGCCCTTATATTCTCACTTGCCCACCTCTTCTGTGATACCCACTGTGCCTTGAGGAGTTGACTAGCTTAAATTTCTGGCCTTTTGTCTTAGGAATGCAGTTTATTCCAATTGGCATTTTCTGCTGGGCATGAAGATGAGGCTTCAGTTGCTGTCAAGGTTTCAGATTTGGCAGGACTTGATGTCCTTTTTAGACCCAGGAGTTAAAGCCCTGTAACTCAATGTCAAAAGAACTTTAAAAGCACATACAGAAAGATACATGGATGTAATAATGTTAATTAAAATAAAAAATTTCATGTCAGTTTTTTCTAAGCAAACTAAGACTTAATAATAATGGCATAGGAATTTTTTTGATAAAACATACATCTTTTAGGCCAGTTAGCAAAAGGCAAAAGAAATGACCTTCTGCACTGCACAGAAGATTAAGTTGGAAGAAAGTATTTCCTTTAGGCCTTTAAGAAAATATTATTAATATCAGGTCACTACAACAGGATTCCAGAAAAAAAATTATGTGAGCTGAAAATTTGTTGGAGAGCATTACTATTTCATGCCCTTTTAAAGGGGAGAGAAAACCGAAAATGGAGAGATGCAATAAAAGTTGAACTTTGGATTAGAAAATAAAATAAAATCTTTTATAATTTATTAAGAGTAAATCAATCTCTTAAGAAAATTTTATTGTTCTAAACCATGTTTAGTATATGTGTGTTTTCTACATCAAACCCAATCTCTAAAAACCATTATAATTTCCCTTTAATTATAGACAACTTGATCATGTAGGTTATTTTTTATAAATCCTTTTATTGTGATTTACACACACCATTCATGACATGCTTGGACTTTCTGGTTTGTCCTGAACATCCCTCTCTCTTAACAACTAGTCATTTTATGCTAGCTCTAAAATACCATACACAATTCTTTCTCATATAAAATCATTTCTTGTTAAGCTTTCTTACCAAAAAAATTACCTCTTTATTTCCACTTACCTCTTTTTAAACTTCTCTTATTTCCTGGTTCCTTTTACCTTGTTTTATGTGTAACCTTTAAATAAGCTTTGAGTTAGACAAAAATTGTCCACTCTTTTAAAAAGGACTTTGTTTTTAGAAAGAATGTCTTCCTAAAATATATTTATATTGGAAAATACACAAATAATGAAACATCTATTATTTAATTTAACTTTATATTCTAAATTATGACAAGCCTGTCTACAAGTATTGATCCCATTACATTTACCTAATTATATTATTTTAATTGTTTACCTAGATTATTTATGAAAAGTGTGATGGTCGTGATTAAAAGTTATAAAACTGCCATTGCAAAATTACAACTGAGACAGTGAAAAAGATTTGACCTCATTGACTGCATTTTGCTTTTAACCTCCAAGCTGTCCTTGTTCATTCCTGGGTGTAGGCCAAACTAACTTTTGGAGGAACTTAGTGCATAGTTACCTTTGAAACAAAGGCAGTAACAAACCTTACTGCCTGTGGACTAGACCACCAAAATCCACAGGGTTAAAGTTATGGTAATATTACTACATTTTAGATGTACCTATTTTTTATTAAACCAATATAATGTCTTATTTATTAAAAATTACACAAGCAAATATCATTCTGTTTCAGGCTGAGTTTTAGTTTTGTAACCCCTCTGCCAAGTTTTGACACCTTGCAGTACTTGGTAGGGTTAAGTATGAAATTGCTTGGTTAATAAATGCAAACAAAAATGTATGCTGGTAAATTCTTAAGACATTTCTAATATTATTTTATCAATGATTTTAAAACCATCTTATTAAGATTTTACTTAAGTCATGTGAATTTGAAAAGCATTTGACTAGTCTTTTTTTAGTGTCTGATTTAAGCACTTTTATGATTTGTAACCCAATTAATTCGAGCTCTTTTATATATTTTTAGTAGCAAAACATTGCATATACAACACATAAATATATAGACATATTGGGCATGCTGATAGAAGTACATCTTAATAGATTGATAAAGACTTTCTATTTTTCCTTTTTTTTTTTCTATCCTACCCTAGGCAGATGTGAGCTAAACAGCCTTAGATTTGCATATTAAAGGAAACAACTCTTAGATGAAAAATTGGATAGCAAAATTTACATCTCAAGGTACACAGAGAAAATGTTTGGTGATGCTAGAGGGAGATTAAAGAGGATGTCAAATCAAACATAAAATTATAAAAATGTATCATAGGATTGTATAAGGAGAGCAAGTTTATTTAGTTAGGGACTACCTATTTTTTTTTAACTGGATCTCTGAGCTCTGGGCAGAGCCCACACTGAATCCTGGGTCTCCAAAAAGGGAGAGTTATTATGAGGCTACAGCATGTGATGCTTTTACAGTACAATTAAAATATATTGTTTAAACAAGGACATTTCAAAGTGATAAGCTACACTCCTACTTAAAAACCCAAGAGTAGCCTCTGTTGCAATAACTATTTTAGTCAAAAAATCAGGTAAAAACAGAGTTCATTCAACTGAGAAGAAAAAAATATTTTGCCAAAAAAAAAAAAAAAAAAAGACAAGGTCATAGGAGAGGAAAAAAACATGAAAGTCTTTTAAATACAAATGTGCGCACATGCACATATACACACACATCTTGGATATGAGCCTACTAATTACCCTGGCTTTTAACCATTGAACTGCTTAAAAAAATCCTTTTAAATGTCATTACCATATTTTAGCTAGGACAAATTCCTGCTCTTTCAGAAGTACCAAGTGTCAAACTAGAAAGAGCTTTAGGAATCAAACTTAAGCTGTTGTGAAAAAACGAAGCAGGACGTTAGCTATAGACCTTAGCATGGGGTTGTAGACATTGCTCTTTCAGTTTGGCCTGGCTAGCAGAAAGGTGGCCTTTTATGTAAATAAAGCCCCTTAAGTAGTCAAAAAAAAAAGTGTATATATATATATATATGTATATATATATATGTATATGTGTATATATATATATATGTATATGTATATGTGTGTGTGTATATATATATATATTTCTTTTGCAGGCTTTTTTTCTCCCTCCACCATAGCACCTTTTATTTTGGGGGTGGAGGGAATTTAGCCACTTTAGAGGCCTAGTTCCCCATAATTTGGAACTTTCCTTTGGATTTGATCAAGTCAAATAGAGTTGGTGAAACCCAATGGGAAAAAGACTGAAACAACAACAGAAACAAACAACAAAAAACAGTTAAGCAAAAATAAATGATCGCACAACTTATATGATTACTGAGTGCTCTAATGGTAAGGAGAAATTAAAGCCATTTGGTTGTTAATATTCACTTTAGCCAAGAGAAACCCCAATTCAGTTACTTACCTAGGGATGGGTCTCAGGCTATAGACTGCTCTCTACCATTCTAGAAGCAGGAAAAAAAAGAAAAAAAAAAAACCTCATTTTCCCTGTTGGAAGTGCTCAAACTCCATGAAGGAGTTATTTACCTTCTATTATCATGAAAACAGGAAATATTGCCTTCTTTGTTGGAAGCAAGTAAAACTCCAGGAAAAGAGGAGTTATACAGCAAAATAAACTTTAGATCTTGACCAAATTTTCGGAAATCAGAGATTCTCTGGAGGGGGTGCTGTTAGACCTCAGCAAATTATCTTATTGGTTTGAGCTATAAAGTCAGCTCATGTTGGTATCAAGCACTGTTAGGATATTTGTCAAAATCAGGGGTATCTCCACTCAGAATCCCTCTATGGTTACCAAAATGTGAACTCTGAAAATCTGAGGCACGTCTCAGTTAATTTAGAAAGCTTATTTTGCCAAAGTTGAGGACTTATGCCTGTGACACGGCCTCACGAGGTCCTTATGACATGTGCCCCAGGTGGTCAGACCACAGTTTGGTTTTATGCATTCTAGGGAGACATGACACATCAATCAACACATTCAAGATTAACATTGCTTCAGTCTGGAATGGGGGGACAACTCAAAGCAAAGGCAGGAAGACTCAAAGCAGGGAGGGGACTTCCAGGTCATAGGTAGATAAGAGACAAATTGCATCTCTGGTTGCATTCTTTTGAGTTTTTGATTAGCCTCTCCAAAGGAAGTAATCATATATGCATTTGTCTCAGTTAGCAGAGGGGTGACTTTGAATAATAGAATGAGAGGCAGGATGGTCTTAAACAGTTCCCAGCGTGACTTTTCCCTTTAGCTTAGGGGAAATTTGGGGGCCCCAAGAGTTATTTTTCTTTCACAGGAGGAAACATTTGGAGGTTATGGACGTATTTATAGCATAGTTCATAATAATGGTTCCATGGTTATATGCTTATCCCCAAATTTATCAAGTTGTATAGATTACATAGGTATAGCTTTTTATATGTAGATATATTTTGATAGAGCAGTTCTAAAATATAAATAAATAAAACAAGTCCACACTGTAAAGATGTTCAAGGACCTAAACATCTTGATGGGAGCCAGAGATTAAACATACTTCAATTAAAAAGGAATGACAATTAAACTAATAGCAAAACCCTCTTGAGCAACAGTTGTAGTCAGAAATACGCACAGCAAAACTTCAATACCAATCACTAAAGATAATATAAATTGTTATAAAGAAAGTATAATTCCAAAATCAATAGAACAAAATGTATATGGGGCTAAAAAGAAAACAATATAATTTTATAAGGAGTAATATCATTATCTTATTCCTCAATCTGTCTTTAATTATTTTGATTGTAATTATCATATTTGTTAACAGAGAGTATACCTGAATTTCAAGTGTATCTGCATCATTGTAGCAGTTTCTGTGTTATTAAGTAAGATATATAAGTGGCAGATAATTATGCCCATTCAAATAATAACATATGTGTTATTTTAGACCAAAACCTGAAAGTTATGGATATAGTTATTATCTAGTCTAAGGTATTCTATTAAATTAAGAGTTGACATTATGGAAATGATTTCATTGTCGCATCCAAGAAACACTGAACAAGGTCCAAGTGCAAACATTGTGAGAAACACGAGGAACAGAAAGATCAAGTTCCTGGTTCTTACCTTTAAGAAAAAAAGAGGGATCATCCATTATTAGCAGATTATAACAGCAATCTTTTTTACCACTTAATCTCTAATTATTTTATTACTTTTCCATGCTTTACTGTCTTTCTATGTACTTTAGGTTTTAGTATACTGGATTTGTACTAGTTATTATATAGTAATTAACAAAACAACTTCAGTGTTTTATGCCTATGTAATAGAAGAACAAGTAATCTTTAATTTCGTAAGTTTTGCTTCTGTGATAACAATTTATATTAGAAATTGGATCGAAATCACAATTTCCAGCTTGGTTTTTGTTTTTGGAAAAAAAAGAACATATTTGAAAGATTTAACAAGAGGAAATTTCTTTTAAGTTCATTTTAACCCTTTATCCCCCAAATATTATTTAATATAACCTTCTTAGATAAATTACATCTATCAAAATGAAAAATATAGCACTCTATAATTAAATATTATGAAGCTAATATTTTGAATCTAGACTTTAGAGTCTTGTAGACATGATTAAAAATAGATATCATTCATTCAAATTCAATAAATATTTATAGTCAAGCATAGTAATAAATGTTTTATTTCATGGAACACTTGTGGCAACTCTCTGAGACAAAGTGAACACACTCTGTTCACATTTGGGGGACATGGAGTTTAGGGAGATTGATTTCAAAACATAGGGATGACAAGTGACAAATAGGTTTTGAATTTCCCTATGTAATTTAAACCCATGCTCTTATCTCCAAAAAAAAAATATAAGAATGACCAAGAACCACATGGAAAGATGCTCAACATCACTAATCCTTGGGAAAATGCAAGTCAAAACTTCGATGTGATATCACCTGACACCCATTAGGATGCCCACTATAAAAACAAACAATCAAAAAACAGAAGGTAACAAGTGTTGCTGAGAATATGGAGAAACTGGACCCCTTAGCACTGTTGGTAGAATGTAAAATGGCACAACCTCTATGAAAAACATAATGGTAGATTCTCAAAAAAGTAAGAATAGAATCGCTATAATAACCAGCAATTTCACTTCTAGTTATATACCCCCCAAAATGAAAAACAAGGCCTTTAAGATAGTTGTACATCCATGTTTATAGCAGAATTATTTACAATACCTAAAAATATAGAAATAGTCCAAGTGTCAATGGAGGTATGAATGGAAAGGAAAATGTGAAATACACATACAACAGACTATTCTTTGCCTTAAAAGGAAGGAAACTCTGGCATACACTACTACATGAATGAACCTTGAGGACATTAATGCTAAGTGAAATAAGTCAGACACAAAAAGACAAATACTATATGATTTCACTTATATGAGTTAATAAAGTAGTAAAAGTCATAAAGACAGAAAGAATAGTAGCTGTCAGAGACTGGGGGAAGGGGAAAATGGGGAGTTATTGTTTAAAAGGTAGAGAGTTGCAGTTTTACAAGATGAAATGGTTATGGAGATGGATGGTAGTGATGGTTCTATGACATTATGAATATTGTGTGATTAATATTGCTGAACTGTATGCTTAAAATGGGAAAGATGGGGGCCAGGCCCAGTGGTTCACGCCTGTAATCCCAACACTTTGGGAGGCCTAGGTGGGCAGATCACGAGGTCAGGAGTTCGAGATGAGCCTGACCAACATGGTGAAACCCCGTCTCTACTAAAAATAGAAAAATTAACTAAGTGTGGTGGTTTGCACCTGTAATCCCAACTACTTAGGAGGCTGAGGCAGGAGAATCGCTTGAACCTGGGAGGCGGAGGTTGCAGTGAGCTAAGATCATGCCATTGCACTCCAGTCTGGGCGACAGAGTGAGACTCCATTTCAGAAAAGAAAAGAAAAATAAAGTAAGATGGTAATATGTATATAATACCACAATTAAAAAATTGGAGAAAAAGAAATATAACAGAGTGATTCTTAATATACATTAATCTATTTTTTATGGTTTAAGAAGCAGAGATTCTATTATACACGTTGGCCAATATATTGTGGAATCTTTCTAATGCTAAACAATAAAGCATTTATTCTTTTTTATTTTAATTTCTTCAGTACCTTCTAAATAAAGTAACTGTAGTGATATATCGTGATAGATGTAAAGCAATTCTATTTCAAATGTCTTAAGACCAAGGACAGTATTTATATTCCTTCTTTTCATTCTTAGTAATGAGCAGAGTTTCGCTTGTAATTGCTACTCAGTAATTATATTCTTAAATATCTTTAGATATATCTAATTATATCCTTATATATATATTTATCCTTAAATATATACTGGCCTTCAATTCTATCTATGCTATCTACAACACTAACGACTGTTGGTAGCCATAAACTATACAAAGGTACCTTTGAAAGTAGCTCTATTATATAACAAGTTCCATTCAGTGGGGCTGTTTTTAAGTAGCTCAGTGCAATTTTCCATTTCTATTGCAAAGAGATAAAAACATGTCTGCAAAATGAATTTGTATAGTTTCTCATGAGCATTTAAAGAATTTAAAGCAACATTGTACTTTTTTTTTTAACATCATGCTTTTCACTGGCTGAACTCTATTTTCCTGGGCAAAAAAATCAGAAAACCAAGCGTTCTAACAAATAGCCTCCTAGTGAGAGAGGAAAAGTGACCTAAACAGACTTACCTATTGCCCTCAAATTTGGAGAACTTCATGTTTTTTAAAATAAAGAGATGGCCCTTTTGGTTCATCTTTGAATTCGGACTCCAAGCGTTCTTATGTGTCTTTTAAATTGAATGCTTAGAGTCAATTTAGTGTGAAGCTCTGAAAATAGGCCTGCAGAGCTGGAAAAAGAACATTGCCTTTCTCTACTTAAAAACACACTGATGGCTGTAGTCAGGGATTTAAAAGAAAAAGTCTTGGCTTGCCACCTAAGTTTTCCTTCATTGTGTGTTGCTCTTTCTATACCTTCTAGTTTTCCATTGTGTTTGCTGTGACTTTGTTTTGCTTGACTATGTCACTTTTCTCATTCCTTGCTTAGCTTATCTATTTCTTCTTCTATTTCTTTCTCTGTACTCCATTCTCCCACCCTAAGACTTCCTGAAGTTTGGGAGACTTATTTTAAGTCTGAAAAGTTGCCTTTTCTTTATTTTGAAAAACTTCAGCTCACAGAATAACTCCCTGTAGGTCTCACAGCTGAGCCACAGATGTTCTTCAGCTGCCAGATGACAGACAATACCTCTGCAGAGCAGGTGGGACCACTCAGTCTCTAGAGGTATAAGCCTCCCACAAACTGCTTAGATTTGAGAGAGTAAGCTGCACCCAGGACAAGTTCATGGGGGAAGACATTGCTTCTGCGTCACATTTAACTCATGAAAAAAAAATGTAAAGTCCTTTCTGAGAAGGACCCTGAAGGAAGTAATGAGAAAGAAATGCATTGTCATCAATCACCTATCCTTGGTGCTTGTAGACTATGGTCAGAAATTGCTGCAATTTAAATAAAATTTGTACTTAAACATTTAAATCTGTCTTCAGTTAATATGTATTTTTATAGTTCATATTTATCATTAAATATTATCTATTCAGATTATCTTTGGTTCCAGTACTTCTCTTTACTCTGTGGTAAATTCTTCATCTTTTTCCTTTCCCTTATATTTTCTTCCAGATTTAATTCACTATTGTACAATGTAAGCCAAGTTTGTGTGTTTGTTTTTTTGTTTGTTAACTCACAGCATTTGGAGAAAGGTAAAACAATCTATTAATACCAGAGTAAGCACTGGATTTGGAAATAAAAATGTCAGTGCTTTCAGTTTTTGGTAATGAAAAACCCTACCAATGCTTCATTTTACTATATGTTCAGATGTGCAAGTAGAGTATGCTATACTGAATAGTATAATTATAAAAAAAAATTTATTAAACAGCCATAAACATAGACTCTTGGGAAGCACTTTGATTTCGTCATATAGCACAGTGCAGAAAACGGGTTGTGTTCACAATAAGTATTTCTCGAACAGATGGTGCATAATTGAATAGGGTTGGACAAACAGGTGTACTAGATATATTTAAGGCTGCGTTCTGAGCTGAAGGTGTCCCCTACTTTACCTAGTGTTTAAAAAATAGGACTTTTATTTTAAAATATACTATCATTTTTATTCCCACTTCTCCCTTCTCTGTTTCTGTGTTTTTAATGCATGGTTTAGTTGTTGCTTTTTTTAAATAAAAGTCTCTTTGGACAGACATTGTGCTAAATTTTCAGGATACAGAAATAAAATATCTTTCCTCTGATAGCTGACAATCTAATAAAGTAGTCAAGTATTTAAAAAGCCAATAATTCAGCATGATATGTTAAAATATCTGTATGAAGAAAACAGAGTGATACTAGTCAAAACAATTACTAATATTAGAATATACTAATATTTGTTTCTATTTATAGATGGCTAAATGTCTGACACAGTAATAAATTATTACATTATCTTTTTGTGTGGATGGGGCTTTTAAAATACTTTTAAAAGAAAACTGGTCATTTAAAAAGTTTTAGTGAAAACAATACATTCGGTAAAAGCAATTGAGACAATACAGCCAAGGTAGAAGACACGAATAAAAGTCATCCAGAGTGACAGAACATAAAATAACTATTATTAACACTATGTAAATATTATCTAAAATATCTATGCAATATGCAAACAAGATAAGATGCTATTTGAATAGGAGAACATATTTGCTATGTTTAATTTTTTAAAAGTGAAAATATTAATGTTAATGGATTGAACGAGGTAAAAGAAACAGTTGAAGATATGCTTATAAATGGTTCTTTTAATGTAAAGAATATTATTTTTCCTAATATATCTTTTTCTAATTAACCTCTCAAGTTATAGAAATAATTGTGAAATTTATGTTAGTAATATTTGAATTACTAGTTTACATTTAGATAGTATGGAAGATTGTGAAAATTATAAATTGGCTACATTCTCTCATCTTCTTTCCTGATTGTATTTTTAAACTTACTATTCAAATAGGTTAACATTTGAAATTCTTTGGGTGTATAACATTTAGATTTCTGCTAAGAAAATAATCACCATAGGCACTTACACTTAATTTTTTATTTCCATGTATCAAAAGGATGACACCTGCTTTTTAAGTATATCATTTCCATTTTCCAGTGCTAAATTTTGAATCTTGCCTGTTTGGATAGATTTCATTATCAAGTTTGTTTTGTTTGTTTTGTTTTGTTTTGTTGTCTTGTTTTGTTTTAGATGGAGTCTCACTCTGTTGCCCAGGTTGGAGTGCAGTGGCACGATCTTGGCTCACTGCAACCTCTGCCTCCCAGGTTCAAGCGATTCTCCTTTCTCTGGGACTACAGGCACGTGCCACCATGCCCGGCTAATTTTTTGTATTTTTAGTAGAGAGGGGTTTTCATCGTGTTAGCCAGGATGGTCTTGATCTCCTGACCTCATGATCCGCCCACCTCAGCCTCCCAAAATGCTGGGATTACAGGCGTGAGCCACCGCGCCTGGTCCTATCAAATCATTTTTTGAGCGATTGTAGATTCTGTGTTCTCTATTGTTTGCCCAGGAACTTTGACCCCCTGATTATTATTATTTTTTATTTTATTTAATTTTTTTGAAACAGAGTCTCGCTCTGTCACCAGGCTGGAGTGCAGTGGCGCAATCTCGGCTTACTGCAACTTCCCCTTCCTCAGTTCAAGTGAGTCTCCTGCCACAGCCTCCTGAGAAACTGGGACTACAGGCGCGCGCCACCACACCCAGCTAATTTTTGTATTTTTGGTAGAGACAGGGAGGGTTTCACCATGTTGGCCAGGATGGTCTGGATCTCTTGATCTTGTGATCTGCCCTCCTTGGCCTTCTAAAGTGCTGGGATTACAGGTGTGAGCCATGGCGCCCAGCTTTTCCTCATTATTTTTAACTGAAATGCAAATGTGCCTTGTTCTAGTATTCTAGGATCACACTTATTTTTCTTTGATATCTATATATGGTTGTATTGTCTTCTGAAATTTAATTTTGCTATTGAGAATTCTGACTCTCTTTTATCCTGTTTAAAATATAATTACTTCACTATAGATTTTAATTGCATCATTTTCCGAAACACATTGTATTTTTTTCATCTAAAAACATAGTACTTATGCATCATGAAAATCTGCATTACAGCATTGAATACTTTTTCTGTATTATTTGTTAAATTTTCTGTCTCTGCCTGTCTAGTTATCCTTTGGGTTTATCTCTATTTGTGCTACAGAGAAATCACCTTCTCCACTATTCAGTTTTTTATCTTTTGTATTTACTGTGATTGATTCAAAATTTTCTTCTCTGTCGCAGTTCAACATCCTGTGGTGTCTAATACATTTTACTTAGTTTTGTTTCTGATTAGTTGTTTACCGGTATAATTTTGGTTCTGTTTGCTATCTCCTCTGCCCCTCACAAGAGCTAGATTATATAGTCATTTGATGACCAAGGAGACAGGATCCAAGTGAGAAAGTAACGTTACTAAAGCCCAAAGTAGAGCTGAGATTCAAACTTAGATTTGCCTGACACCTGTTTATGTTCTACACTTCACCCAATTGACTTTTCCTAGACAGTAAAATAATAGTAATTTTTTGTTGTTGTTTTATATCAAACTAACTGAGGCTGTAGTTTTACTCATCCATTACTTATACCAATGTTTTTGATTCTCTATTTTTTTCGTTATTTTGAACATTTGTACATAAGAATATAGGGTGCTTATTTAGTTGTTCATTTATTTAAGGATACTTTGCCATACAAAAGCTAAAGCCTAGCTGAGAGAAAACATTTTAATGAGTGGCCCATTTCAGTGATATTCGATATATGAGTAGAGGCTTCAGTAGTTGAAATGAGTTCTAAATTGCAAGATCTGCTGGGAAAGGCAACACACAACATTCAGTTTTACTTACATGCAACCTTGCTTAAAGGGAATATTGTAATAAGCAGAGTGCTTTCTTTGTATTTCTATAAATAAAAATTAGACCAATAAAATATTTGCTGTCTATAATCATAGACACTTAGGTATTTTCACCCCAGAACAGCTGGAAGTAAGGCAAAATAAAATAAGATCATTTGCAAGATTACTAATCCTATAAAAAGTCTGAAAAATGAGGGATTTGAGAAGTTAATATAACTTTCATTTGTCAAACATACCTTTCTTTTCCTTGTGTGACTAAAGGTCTTAGAAAACTTGTCTTGATTAACTTCAGCCATTAATTAGATTGAGTCTGGCCAACTTCTCTTTATATTAGAACACAACCAGAAGAAAAAGTACTTGATAAGATAAACATAAATTTTTAATCTGTGGTTTTATGAAATGAACACTAAATCTGATTTTACACAATCATTTTGCTGGCACATTTATAAACATAGCAAATTTTTATAGAAGATGTAATAGAACAAGTAATAGAGTAAGGTCATTAGGTGCAGATATGGCCTTCAAATAGATAATGAAGCATCAGTGTGTGTGTGTGTGTGTGTGTGTGTGTGTGTTGTGTGTACGTGTGTAAATAAGGAATGAAAGAGCATTTGAGACCCCTGTAGTGGACCAAATTCTCTCTGGGCACACTGGAGCATTCCATATTATGGGACTCTAACATTAAGCAGGCCTATCATTTGTTGTCCCTCACTCACTCTCCCTTAGGCTACTTTTACTCAAATGTAAATAAACTCTAAGAAAGTCAATAGATTATTAAAATTTTGTCTTTATTTTTTCTTAGTTTTATTGGGTAATTCATATTTTAATATTGTCCTTTGTTTTGGGTGAGCCAAGATGATTGCAAATTTTTATTATATCTTGACCATTTTTGAAATATCTAGGAGACATTCGTCTAATACATTTTGGGGCTTTTGAAATGTTTCAACATCTTATTTTTCTTAAGTTTATCCAGTACCGTCATGTCTCAGAACAAAGGGAATAACCTAGAGAGATGGAGATATTTTTCAGCAGCCACTTAAAAAGCTAAATTAGACTCTTCAAAGTCCAAGTGTTACCTGGAATATAGATAGCATTTTCTTTCCTTCTATATTGCAAAATTTTAGGGTTGACCTTTGTCTTATAAACGTTTTAGATTCATACCTTAAATTAGTATTTGATGGGACCAAATGCTCTGCTGATTTAAACCTTCTGTCTCCATTTGAGATGTTCTACCTCTCTCCTCATGTCTGCACCTTAAACCCAGTGGTTTCTGTGGGATATTTACTCTTTGGTAATCATTTTAGCTCATTTACAGCTGAGCTAAGAAACAAGCGTCAGTCATTGTGATTGTGACCAGCAAACATCCTCTTTCCTTTTCTAGGAGCACCACAAATAAATAGTTAAGACTTCACACTATTTTTCTCAGTTTCTTTGGAAGGACCCGAACAGGTTTAATATGAAGTTTTTCATGGTGTTAAATAGGATGGTCAAGGTTTTGAGCACAATTCATTTTTCCTAAAGAACCAATTTTATTTTGCAGTAATGAATGGATATAATATCCCCCAAACAATTGTAAAAGTTATTTGTCTGTGTCAAATTAAGGATCAGGGAATTCTTTTTGTTTGTTTGTATTCTGTCCTGTTTCTCTTTTCTTTCCTGTAAGTGAATAAATATAACAATTTTTAAATCTGAAGATAGTGGTGACTCTTAAGGAAATGTGTTTTATTGTAGTTTTCTTTTTTTCAGTCCAAAGCATATGTGCTTTCATAGTATTTATTTACATGGAGTTCTGGCTAAAGCTATTCTGCATGAAAATAAACAGATTTATGAAAGGTACTAGTGCCTGAATATTTTGGTTTAAATATGGAAGTTCTATAATTGTCTGCTACCTGGCTTTTAAATGAGTGTTTCTCATGCAAAATAGCAAAAGACAAACAACAAAAAACTCAACATTTTCATTATTTAGAGCACTAAAACATATATATTTTATTCACTGGAGACAGAGAATATAAACATCCAAATCTCCAAATAATTACTAAACCACATTTTAGCTTACAGTTCCAAACTTCTTATCTTCAAACAGAGAAAAAATGATTTTTATGCACTCTTCTTTACGGCTATTGAGCAACAAAATGCATTAAAAGTACAAAGTAATGTTCTGGCTGCATGTACAGGAGCCATAAGATGCAATATGTGTGTCATATAGAGCACTCCCTCTAAATGTTACGTTAATGCTAGCGTACATATTATACTATATATTATGTTCACAGCTCTGCTCTTCTTATAGATCCTTTTTCTGTGTTCTAAATAAATTCTGGATTAAAGTGTATGGTGCTTTGTTTCCTTTGATAAAATTAATATACCTTATTCTTTAGTGCGGTTCTAGGTTTACAGAAAAACTGAGTGAAGTACAGATTTCCTATTGATTCAGTGGTAATGTTTGAGAGGAAGCATTATATAATCCTATAATTAGGTGCCAATCTTTTAGAAAGCCTGTGTCTTAAGCCTGAGAAGTTTTGGAGCTTGTGTTAGTTTGTTTTGCATTGCACTAAAGAAATACCTGAGGCTGGGTAATTTACTTTAAAAATAGTTTTTTGGGGCTCACTGTTCCGTAGGCTATAGCAGAAGCATGGCACCAGCATCTGTTTCTGGTCAGGACCTCAGGAAGCTTTTACTTACCATGGGAGGGAAAGAGTGAGCAGGTGGGTCACATAGAGAAAGAGCAAGAGAGAGAAAGAGAGAGGAGGGTATGCCAGTCTCCTTTAAACAACCAGTTCTCATGTGAACTAACAGACTGAGAACTCACTCATTACAAAGGGAAGGACAGCACCAAACCATTCATGAGGGATCTGCTCCTATGACCCAAACAACTCCCACTAGGTCCATTTTCTACACTGGAGGGTTCATTTCAAGGTAAGATTTGGAGGAGTCCTACATCCAAACCATATCGGTGCCTCCCAAACTCAAGTGAAATATCACATAAAAACTCTTTTCAGCTACCCTTTTAAGGGAATTGAAGAAGAACTGACATGTTATGGATACTTGGATTTTTTATTTATTTTTTGCTGGTTTGTATATATTTCTAATTTTACTTCACTTTGTGTCATGGATTTACTGTGAGTTTCAAGATATAGTAAATTATTTAAATGAGAAAGCATTTGAAAATATATTTTCTAGACTATTACTGACATATTAGTATTCCAAATTGATTATTTCTTGATTATTACTAAAATTTCTAGGAAGTATTTATGTAATTCATTTGGGGCCTTTGAAATACTTTAACATTTATTTATCCAAAAGCTTTCCAGTACCCTAAACTTCTCATAAAAAAGAGAATAATGTGGAAATAAGTGGAAATACTTTGAGTATCCTTCAAAACACTAAAATGAAAACTTCAGAGTTATTATAAAAAGTCTGTATGCTTTAGTTTCAAGTAAACACTCAAAACCTATAATCAAAATATACATTATACTAATTCCTATAAAGTTGTTATCTATTTTTGGCAATGAATTAGAGTTAATAATGATAGCTCAGCAAAGGACAAAATAGAAAAGGTTTAAAATCATGATAAGAGGCCTAAAAACCACAGCATACCGACTTAGTTTAACATTCAGCAAACTGATTCATTGGCCAGACTTTTTTCAAAGGCATTGTCATATTACATAAAAGAGAAATAATTGTAAGGCATTAGCCAACGTTATTGTGCATGAAAAATGTTTTAGAAATATTTTACCTGTGGTTGTTTAAAGTGTTGGGACTCTGGAGAATTTAACTTTGAAATCTCAGTTCCTGGGTAATGATGGATAAATGATGAGTTGTTGCATATAACTGAGTAACTTGACTTGCACAAATTTTGACTTTCAATCAAACTAGACTTTCAGCAGAAGCATTACGAGCAAAATGAGAGCAACAGAATATGAGAGAAAACTCTTTTAGAATAACATTATTTTCCAGTAAAATGCTATTTATAATTACTACTTCCTTTTTTTTTTTTTTAGTTTTGGTTTTGTTTTTGTTATTTTGGTATGATTTTTAATCCTCAAATTTCTTTAAAAAGAAAATTTTCCGTAGTGGGCTGCCTTTATACTTAGGACTACGACAGTCTCACTATTTGAGAATGTCTGCTCCTTATGGGCTGAGAGAATTTTAAAATGTTCACTTTTCAGCTAAACTTTGGTAAACATCTTTTGTTATGAATAAAATTGTTGATGTCTTGTTTTTGGCTATGCTTTTAAAAAAAGTCCACTTTTTCCAGTATAAATTTACAAATTCAATATTAATTTAAAATGGAATTTTTAAACCCTCAAGCCTTTTTTTCATTAATTTCAAAATAGACATCTATTTTTTAAATAATTCAAATTTAAGATCGCATGAAATTTTAAGGAACTGACCTAGCTTATTCTTTTCTAGTTCAACAAAGTGAAAATATTTTATGCAACAATCACAGTCTCATTGGTGACCTTTCCAAATATAAGTTGTTTGTGAAATTTCTGTCATATTGCACAAGATCAAGAATATACACTAGCAATTAAAATTCATTGCAAAATGATTAGGAAATATTTGAATAGAGGGTCTTGGTTTACAAGTGTATATGATGGGGCCATATTTTGACTCAAGTGCATATAGTTTCAATAGGACCCAATCTCATGATCAATTTATTGTAATAGTCAATATTTAGAAAATGTGTTTTCCAGTTACAAAAATGCTGTATATGTGATTTTAGTCATGTTTAACAGTTCATATTTTATTGTTCTTCTATGGTTTACCCCAATTAATTATGTCCTTATGGTTTCCACCTGTTCCAGGTCATCTTGATTTCTCTTTTCATTGCCTATATCCTTCTTTAACGACTTGTGATCTTCCGCTGCTTACTTGTTTTCACAAGCAAACGTCTCTCAAAATTTATGCAAGCCAGGTTATTCAGAGTTTCTATGGCAGTGGTAGTTTCACAAGAGGTAGAAAGAATCATGGCCTAGAAAACATTAGACTGGCTGGCTGGGCCTTTCACCTCTGGTGCATGTGTGAAGGAGAGATAAAGAACAAGTTGCTGGCTTTCTCAAATGTAAACGGGGATAGAATATCATTGACTAGAAGGCTTGCCAAAAGTGATTGCTAGGCCACATCCTGGAGTTTCTAAATCAGAGGGTCTAGAGTAGGGTCCAAGAATGTACATTTCTTGTAAGTCACCAAGTGATGCCAAAGCTGCTGGTCCAAAGACCACACTTGGAGAATCATTGTCTAAGAACTACACTGCAAATTGCTGTTAACGCTCCCTTGATGAACGAGAAGAGCCAGCCACTTTCAGAACTACTTGCATTAGGTGGCTAGAGGGTTGTCTTTTCCCTATTCCTAGAGATAATTGTGATGTCACCTTCATCCCCCCCCCATGTCACATACCCTTGAAAATGTGGATTTGGTGGTATCCTCTCAGAATCTGCAAAACAAAGAATAACATGCTAAGCCAGGCGTCCCCAACCCCGGGTACTGGTCCATGGCCTGTTAGAAACCTAGAAACTGGGCTGCACAGCAAGAGGTGAGCAGTGGGTGAATTAGCAAAGTTTCATGTGTATTTACAGCTGCTCCCTATTGCTCCCATTACTGCCTAAGCTCTGCCTCCTATCAGATTGGCTATGGCATTAGAGTCTCATTGGACCATGAACCCTATTGTGAATTGCATGTCAGAGGGATTTGGTTGCATGTTCCTTATAAGAATTGAATGCCTGATGATCTCTTGCTGTCTCCCATCACCCCCAGAAGGGACCATCTAGTTGCAGGAAAACAAGTTCAGGGTTCCCACTGATTCTACATTATGGGGAGTTGTATAATTATTTCATTATATATTACAATGTAATAATAATAGAAATAAAGTGCACAATAAATGTAATGCACTTATCCAGAAATCATCCCTCCTGCTCCCTGTCTATAAAAAATTTGTTTTCCATAAAACCGGTCCCTGGTGCTAAAAAGGTTGGGGACCACTGTATTAAGCAACTAAGCTTTAATTGGAGGCGCAAGCAGGCATTATTATACCTGGAACTTTTTCAGGAATTCTCAGGATAACAGCTTTATTAATGCTATCTCACAGGATCCAAGGGTTGGCTCCAATAGGATAGAATTGGTTTCCTGAGGAATTTAACTAGGATATCCTGATAAAGCAAGGGGTCAGAAACATTGGCTCAGGTTTCCCTTTCTCTGAATCGAGCTCTATCCCTTTCCCATTAATATGTGCTAATCCTTAATTATGTTTTTTTATCCCTTCCTCTACTAATATATGCCATACATTTTATGCAGACTGATCTATATTTTATTAATCTGATCACTGTCCTATTTTCTTATAAAATAGGTAGAGTACATTAAGTAACCAGTAAAAATATTATATTGTCAGTAGATTTTGTAAGAGAGTCCTGATTGACACAGATACAGGTCCATAATCCCTTATGAAAAACCCCAATGTCCAAAAGGCTCTAGAAAGGAAGTAAATGACACGTTGTAACTTATTTTGGGGAAAGAAAACCAAGAGAACATGATTTAAACTGACATGAAAATATTTATAGGGTAACTTTCCCGTTTACTTTGAATAATTGTATGTTTCACTGCAGCAACAGTAGTATATGTAATTATGAACTGCCGTTCCAGTTCCAGATGGAGATATTATATAATATAGATTACATGGTCCAAATTCTAAATCTGGGGTTTTGAACTCACTGGACTCCACAGGTTTTGGATAGAGGACAGTGGATTCATATAAACATGCATATTATAAAGGTCAATTTGCTTACTTTGTGTGATGTTGGACCCAATTTGATTCTATATTACTTTTTTTTAAGTACACAAAAGCACTCCATGCAATATGCAAAATGCATAATGATACACTTTTATTTTGAAATTTTTTATAATTTGATTACAATAATAAAAATACATCATTTTTATTAAGTCTGACAATTTCGTAGATGGCAAAGTTAGAAAAACCAATATCTGAAAACTTCAGGGCTTTCTCTCCTCCTTTTGACTTGTAGAGGAGAAATCGGATTTACCTGCCCAGACAGCTATAGGAACCTAATAGTCTTCTGTCCATAGCTGTCACCATGTGTCTGCATCTTGCACAAATTTGAGTAATCTACTCAAAATTACATAGCTCCTCAGGCTTTTCAAAATATTATTGTTGGCTAAAAAACCTTTGTCTATACTCCCAAGGGAATGGAGCTAAGTACCCAGCTCTTAAGGAACCCACATTAATCTGAGATCCTACAGATAAAGAGGTGTTGCTTTATAATAGACTCATGTCTCTCAAGTTCCTGTTACAAACATTTCTATTTGAAAGTTTCTTAAAATACAGATTCATGGATCCTAATCTGAGCCTAATTAGTAACTCAACAGAAATGGCTTTGTTATCCGTAAATTTAAGAAATAAATTATTCTAGTATTTGTCAGTTTTAGAAAAAAAAAATCCACAGAATCTTTTGAGCACCAAGAGTAAAAGGAAAGAGAAGTCAAAATTATTTTCTATAGAAAGTAGAGGGAATAAGACATTCTAGTTAATCAACTACTCTGGTATATGCTTAGTTTCCTTCTTTAACACACAGGCATTACTAGTTTTCAAAATATAAAAATTACATATAATTTTATTATTTAGGAGAAAAATCCAAAGTTCTGTGGCCTGAATTAATGAGAATACTCATGATAATGTGCTTTAAGAAAGAGTTTAGAGGTAGGCATTATGATTATCAGTGTTATCAAGGATCCAGAATCCTTTAGCCTTGCCCCTCTGCCATTTTCAGTGCATTGGTTGACTATCCCGTTATGGTTACACTATGGCTGCTGCAGCCTAAAACACCATACCTCCTTAAAACATCCGTCTTCAAAGAAGGAAGAAAAGAGTTGTTAGCAAGAGAGGCTTCACGTCACATATTTCTATTCCTTATCATAAATGAAATGACTTTCCCAGAAGCCTACAGCATTCTTGTATGTCATATTGTCCTGTGCCTTATATAATGTCCTTAATTTTAAATAATTACTGAAATTGGCTGCTGGAGTACCATGTCTTGACATATGGTCTATTCCTTTGTAATGGGCAATTTTCTGCCTTAACAAAATCAGGGAATAGCTATTCGTGTTGCAAAATGGTGCAAGATACAACCATTAACACCAATACCTTGCTGAAAATAATTTAGCATCTACTGATCCAAAGTACATTATAGGATGTAGAATGCAGAATAATCCACATAAACACTAATTATGATGATGTCGGAGTTGGGCACAAAATTATGGTTTAGGTTATCTTATGAATTTGTCATACTTCCTTTGGCTTACAGTCTTCCTGTTCACCTCCTTAATTTTCTTCCAAATCTATTATATCACTCATTGTTCCATTCAGTAGGTTACTTCTTAATGTATAACTTATAAGAAAGCTTGCTAAAGGAAGTTAGAATACTTTGTTAAATGAGAAATCAACACAATCAAAAGCAAATTTTAAGAATTTCTTAAGTCTCAATGTTCCATGATCATTTACTAAACATTTATTACTATTTCAAATGTAAAATGTTTTCATTTGAGTTATGTTATTGAGATAATGCTCTTCAAAACTCTTTACAGTAGCTCTATTGATAAGATTTTTTTTAAAAAAATCAAATAACATGTACCTTCAAATAATCTAGAGTAACCTAAAGTATAATAATTCTACCTCATACCATAAGCATTAAGAGGATGGGTTATCATAATTGATACAGGCTTTGCTCTTTCTATAATCAATGTGACATCTTTTTTAACAGAGATGATCTGGATGGAATTTTTATATTTAACTAGAAACAAAAGGTCTCCCTTATAGAACATTTGAAAAATCTTTCAGATTATAAACAAATACATATTTACATATTTCTAAACTTAAAAAAATGCCATGATAAAAGTGAAATTTTTTCTCAGAAAAAAACAAGTACCTATAAACAACAAACTTTTCTATATATCCCTTTGAAAAAAGTAAGTTGAAACCAATGGTGAATAATTTGTTCCTTTCTTATAGAAAATCTTAATTGCACCAAAAATACACATGTAGGTTATAGGAGATTTCCAGTAACTTGAAACAGTTACTTCATTAGTTTTTTTGTTTTTCTGATTTAAATCATTTATGTTTCTGTGCCTATATTCTGCATAAAATTTATTAGACATCAATAGCTTTTCTTTTTTTACAAAAAAAAAAACATGGTCAATTTGAGGAAATAAGACAAAAATGACAGTAATTTCAGAGATATATAGAGAAAACAAATAAGATGAAGGCTATAATAGTTCTAATGGATTGCTATAAAAATGGCCCTTGTATGTGGTGTGAGAGGAAAGAACCCAGGTAGACTCCAGTGCATTCCTTTAGTCCGGGAGATTAAAATGAGATTCTAGGAAAACCTAGTAATCTAGAGTATGCAGGATGCAGCACTAGATTAGATAGATAGAGACCTGTATATGTGTGTAGAGATTAGCCCTTGAGTATTTGCCTGAGTACTAATGAACACACATGTGTGAATAAACCATTTGGGTAAGAGAAAGAACTATGTGATAGAACTAGAGACAACAGCACCAGGGATTCAAGCTAAGCTGGAATCGTGCCTATTCCACAAGTCAACTGTAAAATCTCAAGATTTGTGGAGCACTAGATAGAGTTTATAGAGAGATTTTAACTCAGTGGAGAATGATTAGCCCCAAGCTTTTGGGCTCAACTCAGAACTAGCAAATTGCAAGTCAGTCAAAAGGATTAAACTATTTTTAATTAACTTAACTACATCACAGAGCAAAGTTCAATAATATTTATGAAAACACAAACATGCTGTGAAGCTAGCAAAATAAATAGGAATCCCGAAAAAAAAACTACAGATCTACAATAATGCAGGAACATATGACCTAAAAAGGGAATGTATATTAATTGATCAAAACTAATCCAGAACTAACATAGGTATCATAATTAGCATACAAGAAAATTAAATTAGTTATAATAACTGTATTCAAAACGTAGAGACATAAGGACATAAAATGATAAAAATTGAAGCTCTAGCAATAAAAACTCTTAAGTTTGAAAATAAAAATACAGTGGACAAAATTAATGACCAATCAGATATTACAGAAGAAAAGTTAGTAAACTGGATATCATAGCAATAGAAAATATCAAAAATGAAAAAAGAGAGATAAAACAGTAATAAAAACAATGAGTATAGTATCAGTGAGATGTAGAAAAATTTTGAGTTGCTTAATATACATGTAATCATAGTCCCAGAAGGAGAGAAGAAAGAGAGGAAACAAAAAAAGTATATATTTTGAAGAAATACCTGCCAAAGATCTTACAAATTAGATTAAAACTATAAGCCCAAGAACCAAAAAGTTCAATGAACTCCAAAATATAAGAAAAAGAGAATCACATCAAATCATATAATAATCAAATTGGAAAAATTTAAAAACAGCCAGAGTAGACAGTGTTAGATACAGAACAGAGACAACAATAAAGGTAAATGTCTCATTGAAACCAATGCAAGTGTGAAGACAATGGAGAAACATTTTATAAGTAGTAAAGAAAAAATAAACTATCATTTTAGAATACTATGACCAGTAAACATATATTTCAAAAACAAAGAGTAAATGAAATTTTTTAGAGGTATAAAATCATAAAGAATGTATCTCTAGTAGCCATAATTCAAGAAAGGTTTTAAAAAGTTATTTGGGCATAAAAAAATTAACACCATAAGGCTGTATGCATTTAATTTTTATAAAAGATGACCACTGGAAATGGAAACTACATAAGTAAAAATCATAATTATTCTTATTTACATCTCTTGAAAACATAAGTTACTACTTAAATAAAAAATATTAACAGCATAATAGGATGCTTCAAAGATATCTAATGATAAATGCATAACAATAGCACAAATTTGGCAGAGAAGTAGAAGTATGTATTTTATGTTTCTTCAGCTATATGTGAACATCATAAAGGTAGACTGACAAATTAAAAATACATATTGTAAATCTTAAGGTAACATCAAAATTAATAAAACAATGAATTATAATATGGCAACAAATGAAATAAAATGCAACACAAAATTCAATTAATTCAGATGACAAAAAAAGAGGAAAAAACAAAAGAGAAGTATAACTATAAAACAAATATCCTGATGATAGATTTAAAATTAACCATATGTATAATCAAATTAAGTATAAATAATCTATAAACGGTTACAAAATTGTCAGAGATTGTCAGATTGTACTAAAAATTAAGATTCAACCACTATGAAAAGTGAGTTGAAGTGGCTTTTTTAATATTAGACAAAGTGTATTTCAGAAGAAAAAAATACAACCAGGCTAAAGAAACGAATTTCATGATGATAAAGTGAATAATTCATCAAGAATGTCTAATGACCCTAAAATTTTTGCACCTAGTAATAGATCCAGGTATGTGAAGCAAAAACTGGTTGAAATTCAAGAAGAAATTTAAAAGCACCAATATTATTTGAAATTTTAACACATTTCTGTCAATTATTAATAGAACAAGTAGACATAAAGATTTGAACAACACTATCAACCAATTTGATCCAATTGACTTTTTTTTTTTTTGAGATGGAGTTTCGCTCTTGTTGCCCAGGCTGGAATACAATGGCATGATCTCGGCTCACTGCAACCTCTGTCTCCTGGGTTCAAGTAATTCTCCTGCCTCAGCCTCCTGAGTAGCTGGGATTACAGGTGCCCACCACCACACCCAGCTGATTTTTGTATTTTAGTATTTTTAGTAGAGATGGAGTTTCACCATGTTGGCCAGGCTAGTCTCAAATCCTGACCTCCAGGTGATTCACCTGCCTCGGCCTCCCAAAGTGCCGGGATTACAGGCATGAGCCACCATGCTTGGCCCCAATTGACATTTATAGAACACACCACCCTGTAACAGCTAAATATCTTGTTCATTGCACAAATAAGACTATATTCTGGGCAATACAATATCAATTAATTTAACAAATTTTCAGCCAAATATGGTATGTTCTTTGAGCAAAATGATATTTAATTAGAAATCAATAACAGAATAATCTCTGGAACAATCCAAAATCGAGGAAACTAAATAGCAAATTTAATTTTTCAGTGCTATTTAGCACTCAAAAACATGTATTTAGCTGATGATTAGTGTTCTATAAATGTTAGTGGGGTCAAATTGATTGACAGTGTTGTTCAAATCTTCCCTATTCTTAGTAATTTTCTGTCTAATTGTTCTGTTAATTATTGAGAGATGGATATTGAAATTCCAAATAGTAATGGTTGGAAATTTAAAAACTGTGTTACGTAGTTTTAAAGATCTGGCCATTGTGCTATTTAGTTTCTAATTATTAAATGTATATATCCATTTGGAATCATAGTAATCCTTAGTGTCAAAAAATTTGGAAGTGGAAATTTAAAAGTATTTCAAAACTAAATTAAAATGAATTAAAAAACATCAGAATGTTTGGGATTATTCTTGAGCGGTACTTACAGAGAAAAATCTTGTTCTAAATGCATATATAAATAAAAAAGATCTCAAATTATTAACTTCAATTTACACCTTAAAATTATATATTATATATTACATGTATAATATATATGTATATTATATATTACATATATAATATATATGTATATTATATATTACATATATAATATATATGTATATTATATATTACATATATAATATATATGTATATTATATTGTATATGTATATATAATCAATTAAACCAAAGCTAGTTCTTTGAGATCAACAAAATTGAAAAACCTCCAGCCAGACTGATCATGAGTTGGTGGGAAAGAGAAAACACAAAATATCAATACCAGTATTGAGAGAGATGACATCAGTATAAATTTTATAACTACTGAAAGGATAATGGGGAATGTTGTAAAATTGTCAAACCAATAAATTTTACAACGTTGATGAAATAGCCAAATTCTTTGAAAGTGTCAATCAAAGAAAATGACGAGAGAAGTCTCAATCATTTTTGGAGATTTATTTGCCAAAGTTAAAGACTCATCCAGGAGACAGGTCTATGCCTTTTTCTGAAGATGATTTTGAGGGCTCCAAATTTAAAGGGGAAAGGGTGGGATATTGAGAAGCTCACAGTTTTCACTTAAACAAAAGGAGCAAAGGAAAAATGTGGGGAATCTGCATTTTACATAAGATAATACAGACAAAATGGGGGAGGGGAACAATATGATGTACATTTGTGTCTGCCAGGCTGAGGTTACTCCACCTGTAAAGATAAACTATCAATTAGTCTTGTCATGGAGAAGTTTTAACAGCTAAGTTTTAACAGCTCACCAGGAATTTCTTTGTTGGCAAAAAATGGGGAAGGTGGGTAGCTTTTAATCTCCTAACCATTTTATTTAGGAACCAAAAGGTGGAGTCAAGTTTGCGTGACTCAGTTCCCAGCTTGACTTTTCCCTTTGGCTAAATAAGTTTGGGGTCCCAAAATTTAATTTCTTTTCACAAAAGAAACAAATGATCAAAGCCAACGCATAAATAGATAACTCAAATAGTCTTTTATTTATTAAAGACATAGTACATATAATTAGAAACTTTTTTCTGGTGAATACTACAAATGTTTTTTGTTGTTTTTGCTTTTGCTTTAATATTTTCTTTTTTTTTCTTTTTTTTAAATTTTATTATTATTGTACTTTAAGTTTTAGGGTACATGTGCACAACGTGCAGGTTTGTTACATATGTATACATGTGCCATGTTGGTGTGCTGTACCCATTAACTCGTCATTTAGCATTAGGTATATCTCCTAATGCTATCCGTCCCTCCTTCCCCCACCCCACAACAGTCCCCGGTGTGTGATGTACCCCTTCCTGTGTCCATGTGTTCTCATTGTTCAATTCCCAGCTATGAGTGAGAACATGCAGTGTTTGGTTTTTTGTCCTTGAGATAGTTTACTGAGAATGATGGTTTCCAGCTTCATCCATGTCCCTACAAAGGACATGAACTCATCATTTTTTATGGCTGCATAGTATTCCATGGTGTATATGTGCCACATTTTCTTAATCCAGTCTATCACTGTTGGACATTTGGGTTGGTTCCAAGTGTTTGCTATTGTGAATAGTGCTGCAATAAACATACATATGCATGTGTCTTTATAGCAGCATGATTCATAATCCTTGGGGTATATACCCAGTAATGGGATGGCTGGGTCAAATGATATTTCTAGTTTCTAGATCCGTGAGGAATCACCACACCGACTTCCACAATTGTTGAACTAGTTTACAGTCCCACCAACACTGTAAAAGTGTTCCTATTTCTCCACATCCTCTCCAGCACCTGTTGTTTCCTGACTTTTTAATGATCGCCGTTCTAACTGGTGTGAGATGGTATCTTATTGTGGTTTTGATTTGCATTTCTCTGATGGCCAGTGATGATGAGCATTTTTTCATGTGTCTTTTGGCTGCATAAATGTCTTCTTTTGAGAGTGTCTGTTCATGTCCTTCACTCACTTTTTGATGGGGTTGTTTGTTTTTTTCTTGTAAATTTGTTTGAGTTCATTGTAGATTCTGGATATTAGGCCTTTGTCAGATGAGTAGATTGCAAAAATTTTCTCCTATTCTATAGGTTGCCTGTTCACTCTGATGGTAGTTTCTTTTGCTGTGCAGAAGCTCTTTAGTTTAATTAGATCCCATTTGTCAATTTTGGCTTTTGTTGCCATTGCTTTTGGTGTTTTAGACATGAAGTCCTTGCCCATGCCTATGTCCTGAATGGTATTGCCTAGGTTTTCTTCTAGGGTTTTTATGGTTTTGGGTCTAACATTTAAGTCTTTAATCCATCTTGAATTAATTTTTGTATAAGGTGTAAGGAAGGGATCCAGTTTCAGCTTTCTACAAATGGCTAGCCAGTTTTCCAAGCACCATTTATTAAATAGGGAATCCTTTCCCCATTTCTTGTTTTTGTCAGGTTTGTCAAAGATCAGGTAGTTGTAGATATGTGCCATTATTTTTGAGGGCTCTGTTCTGTTCCATTGGTCTATATCTCTGTTACAAATGTTTTTAAGGGAGAAAATATCATTTCCCCATGAACCTTTGCCACAAATGAAAAAGATATGTGACGTTCTTCAATTTATTCTATGAGGCCTCATTAGCTGATCCTGAAATAAGACAAAGACATTGCATAAAAAGAATACTACAGAGTAATCCCTATATGACCATAGATGCAGAAATTCTAAATATTTAAGTAAATTAAATTCAGCACAGCACTATAGAGAAAGTACAACATCTCAAGACCAGGTGTGATTTATCCCCCAAAACCACGTTGGTCTAAAATTTGAAAATCAAATAATGTAATTCATTATATTAACAAATGACATAAGCAAACTATTTTGGGTGGTGGATAGGTTCTATATCTTTATTTTGATGGTGGTTATATGATGATATTACTTGTCAAAACTTGTAAAACTATCTCTCTAAAAAGGTTGACTTCTAATCAGTAAATTATATATAACTTTTATAGAACTTTAAAAAATATATAGCTTTTTGTTTTTTGAGACGGAGTCTCACTCTGTTGCCAGGATGGAGTGTAGTGGTGTGTTTCGGGGGACCTGCCCCGAAAATCACATACGTTCTTTTCTATTTTCCTAAGTGTTGGCTGGCTTGAGAAATAAAGGGACAGAGTACAAAAGAGAGAAATTTTAAAGCTGGGCGTCTGGGGGAGACATCACACGTTGGTAGGATCTGTGATGCCCCATAAGCCGCAAAAACCAGCAAGTTTTATTAGGGAGTTTCAAAAAGGGAGGGAGTGTGCGAATAGGTGTGAGTGACAGACATCAAGTACTTAACAGGGTAATAGAATATCACAAGGCAAGTGGAGGCAGGGCGAGATCACAGGACCACAGCTCCAAGGCGAAATTAAAATTGCTAATGAAGTTTCAGGCACCATTGTCATTGATAACATCTTTTCAGGAGAGAGGGTTTTGAGATCAACTGGTCTGACCAAAATTTATTAGGTGGGAATTTCCTCTTCCTAATAAGGCTGAGAGCATTATGGGAGACTGGAGTCTATTTCACCTCTGCAGTCTCGACCATAAGAGACTACCATGCCCAGGGGGGCCAGTTTAGAGACCTACCCCTAGGTGCACATTCTCTTTCTCAGGGACGTTCCATGCTGAGAAAAAGAATTCAGCGATATTTCTCCCATTTGCTTTTGAAAGAAGAGAAACATGGCTCTGTTCTGCCCAGCTCACAGGCGGTCAGAGTTTAAGGTTATCTGTCTTATTCCCTGAACAATTGCTGTTATCCTGTTCTTTTTTCAGGGTGCCCACATTTCATATTGCTCAAACACACAGGCTGTACAATTTGTGTAGTTAACGCAATTATTACAGGGTCCTGAGATGATATACATCCTCCTCAACTGACAGGATTGAGAGATTAAATTAAAGACAGGCATAGGAAATCACAAGGGTATTGATTGGGGAACTGATAAGTGTCCATGAAATCTTTACAATTTATGTTTAGAGATTGCAGTAAAGACGGGCATAAGAAATTACAAAAGTATTAATTTGGGGAACTAATAAATGTCCATAAAATCTTCACAATCCATGTTCTTCTGCCATGGTTTCAGCCGGTCCCTCTGTTTGGGGTCCCTGACTTCCCGCAACAGGTGTGATCTCAGCTTACTGCAACCTCCTCCCGGGTTCAAGTGATTCTCCTGACTCAGCCTCCCAAGTAGCTAGAACTACAAGTGTGCGCGACCATGCCCAGCTAATTTTTATATTTTTAGTAGAGACGGGGTTTCACAATGTTGGCCAGGATGGTCTCGATTTCTTGATGTCATTGTCTGCCTGCCTTGGCCTTCCAAAATGCTGGGATCACAGCCGTGAGCCACTGTACCCAGCCTATATAACTTTTATATAAATAAAACTTTTAAAAAGCACATTCATAGAATGAAATTTGTAATGTGGTAAGAAAGATTTTGCTAAATACACATGGTTAAATGACTTGAAGTTAGTGTTTCTGATATTTTATTTAACCATCTTTTGCTCTCTGATTCCCTGACCACAGAAACTAATGATGGATAACAATTAATCAAACATTTTCTGCGTTGAAGTACAAAGATGAACATAGTGTATTCTGCCATAAATGTTCTTGTCCATATGTTAGAGGTACAATATTGGCACTGAAGCCTGATGTCCATCTGGACAAAGGTACATTTACTGCATGAGGCAAAAGTTTCAAAACCCACCATCTGTTTGTATGTCATTTTTGCAAAAATTCAAAACCTGTAAAGAAAAGAATATGTATATGCAGAAATACCACAGAGATAGTGTTTCATTTATTTAGCCCAATAAAATGTGTTTCATAAAAATCTATTGAAAATCATCAAATGAAATATCTTTGCTGTTTTGAAAATATATATATACTCCATATGATCTGTGTAATAATAACTAATGGGTATACTGAACATCAAGTCCAAAGTGTCTTATTAAATTTCAGTTATCTTCCCTTTGGCTAATAATTTATAATTTAGATAAAACCAGGTTTATCCTGCTATATTTAAAAGTGCTCATCACTTGTGATGTTTGTGGAATTGTGGATATCAACTGATAAATGGACAGATTAGTAAAATGTATTACTTATTGGGAATTGGTAGTTAGTCCTTAATTATGTGTTATTTCTACAAGCAGCAGTGTGAAATAGTTAAAAGCACAGACAGTGGAAAAACATACACCAACATTCAAATCCTGATTTTTTCCCTTTTCCAGTTGTATGGCCTTAGGCAGTCATTATATCTTTTCCTCAATTTCCTCTGTTGTGAAGAAGTGATAATAATATTGGCTTGTCAGTTACTGTGAGCATTAAACGAAATCAGGGAAGGTCTTAGTTCAGTCTCCTATAACAAAATGCCATAGACAGGGTGGCTTATAAACCACTGGAATTTATTTCTCACAGTTCTGGAGTCTGTAAGTGTGATATCAGAGTGCTAGTATGGTTGGTTGATGGGGGCCCATTTCTAGGTTGCTAACTGCTGACTTCCCATTGTATCATCCCATGGCAGAAAGAGGGCTAGTTAGGTCTCTGGCCTCTTGTTATAAGAGCACTAATTCTACCAAGGAGGGCTCCACTCTCATTACATAATTACCTCCCAAAGGCCCCACTTTCAAATACCATCACATTGGGATTAGGGTCGGCGGACACACACTTTCAGTCTATTGCAGTATAGCAGAATTATTATTCATAATAATACATACAATATTTATTAGTATGCTTATTACCTTAAAATGTACTTGTTTCCCATGTAAGCATAAACATTGAAGGGTGGCTAATGGAATATTCATATTACTAACTTAATTACATCTTTTAAGCCCTTTTTACCAAGTAAGATCATGTTCACAGTTTCCAGGTAAAATATATTTTTTTGGGGGGGCACCATTAAATTCACTATACTTCTTAAACGGTTACATCTTCCTACCATTTGCTCCTTCAAAATAGAATCACATAGTTTTGTACATCTTATCTATTTTTGCACCCAAACGCGTAAACTGGTTGTTTCCACTGTGTTCTAGTCTTATATTGTAAGTCTTGATATGAATCCTTGGTGCAGATGAACCTAAAATTCCCTCCCGTAGCATCAGTACATCTGCTGATTCTTATAAGAAATGAAGGCATAATCAAGTGCTGAGTGTTTTTGTAGAACATTGAAGTACAAAAATGCATGTGATTTGGACTTTACTGGTAATCGACAAAGTTGGAGGATTCAGTTCTACAAAGGTTGTGATCTCAGTTTTAAAACCAAACTCATAAAAAATAGTTCAAAATCACCAAGGAGACAACTCAACATTAATCATAAGAGAGTAGTGTATAATTTCCTTGCTGAAACAAATCACATCTCCTCTTCTAACTAGTCTATACACAAGCCATTAGGATTTCTGTTTATAAAATAAAGAAATGTATTTATGTTTTGTAGTCAGATTTTTTTAAATATTAGTGACCCTAAAATTCTTTTAAATACTTCTGACAAAGTTCCAATATTTTTAGATTATATATTTGTGAGCTATAGGAATGCTAATGAAAGTTCTGCCACCATAAAAGAAAATAAATACTACAATAAAAATACCAAATATGTGTGTCTGGTTATGATTAAGTGTTTTTGTAACCAACACATTTTGGGGAAGATTTTAATGAAAATCAAGTGTGTCAAAGAAGAAGAAACACTTCCCAGATTATGTTTGTTTCAAATATAATATCTTGGATTCAGTAAAGTTTAAGAAATGTGTGTAGTTAGTAGATTAAATATGATACTGGATATTATTAATTTACAGTAAGTATATGAAATGATGTAATTGTAGTAATAATTGTTTGCATGTTATCAACTGGTATAATAAAAATAATATACTTGGGGAAGAGGATCTGTGTTTGAGTCTTTTTTCTAATATCATGAATTTGGACAAGTTTCATATGAAATCTAAACTTCAGTTAATAGTCTAAAAATATGATCACTTGAACCTGGGAGGCAGAGGTTTCAGGGAGCTGAGATTGCACCACTGCACTCCAGCCTGGGCAACAGAGTGAGACTCTGAAAAAAAAAAAAAAAAAAAAAAAAAAAAAAAAAAAAAAAAAAAAAAATTGAAGTAATCATGCCCACCTACCAGTTTCCATGGAAAGATTAAATAAGGTAACAGATAAAGCCAATTTATGGTTTTAGAAAAATAAAAAGTCAACAATAAACCTCTGTTTTAGATTTTATTTTAATTAACAAATATTAATTGTACATATTTATGGGGCACAATGTAATATCTTGATATATTTACACATTGTGTGATAATTAAATCAAGCTTATGAACATGTCCATCACCTCATATACTTACTATTATTTTGTGATGAGGACAATTAAAATCAAATTTTAACCAACTTTCAAATATACAATACATTATTATTAACTATAGTCGCCATGCTGTTCAGTAGGCCACTAAAACGCACCTCCTCTCTAACTGAAACTTTGTACCCTTTAACCAACATCTCCTCTTTCTTCAACGTTTCCCCTTCATCCTCTGGTAACAAACTGCTTCTATGAGTCTGACATTTTTAGATTTTACATACAAGTGAGATTTTATAGTACTTATCTTTCTCTGTCTTGCTTATTTCACTTAGCATAATGTCCCCCAGATTCATCTATGTTTTTAGAAATAATCAATTTTCTTCTTTTATAAGGCTGTATAGTATTCTATTGTGCATGTATACCATATTTTCTTTATCCAGTCATTCATTGATAGACCTTAGTTTGCTTCCATTTCTTGCCTATTGTGAATAATGCCTCAAAAACGTAGGAGGGCAAATATGTTTGTAACATACTGATTTTAATTCCTTTGGATACATATCCAGAAGTAGAATTGCTAGTTTATATAGTATTTTAGTTTTTTTGAGTAATCTTCATATTTTTTTCCATAATGGCTGTATCAATTTACATGATCAACAGTGTGCAAGGGTTCCTTTTTCTCTGTTCTTGACAATATTTGATACATTCTTGTGATTTTTTTTGATAATAATCATTCCAACAGGTCTGAGGTGGTATCTCATTGTGGTGTTAGCCAGCACTTCCCTGATGATTAGTGATGTTGAGCATTTTATCATATAGCTGTTGACTATATGTCTTCTTTTAAGAAATATCAGTTCAGGCCCTTTGTCCATTTTAAAATCAGGATTTTTTTGATTGAATTGAGATTTTTATACATTTTTGATATTAGTTCCTTATTGGATATATGGTTTGCAAATGTTTTTCCCCAATCCATGTATTATTTCTTCACTCTGTTAGTTGTTTCCTTTGCTATGCAAAAGTTTTTTATTTGACATAATCCTATTTTATTTTTGGTTTTGTTGTGTGTATTTTTAGGGTCATATTCATAAACCAATTACCTAGATCGATGTCATAGGGCTTTTCCTCTATGTTTTTTAAAGTCAGATTCTGAATATATGCATCTTGAAATTTATATTGGTTTTCATTTGCCAGGTGGTAATCTTATCAAAATTTAATAATTGCTATGATAGTATATGATATGACATGATATAGTGATTGTTATACTTCTATTTACATTCTTTTTGAAGGAAACATGTAAGATATTCTAAAGGCTAGTTCAGAGTATTTGATCAAACTCCCTGAATCAGACGATGACAAGAGCAAAATTTCTTTCATTTGCCATGACAGCGAAAACTCTGTGGGACACTTCTTTCACAGATAGTACTGTGGTATGCAGCAGGTCTTGAAGAGGAAAACAACCTTTTTTCTTCAGCTGATTTGAAAAATTTGAGCTTGTCATAAAGGGCAAAATGTATGGAAAATTTTCTATATATTTAATTTATGGCTTGCCTTCTTGAGAGAGGAGATATTTTAAAAAGATCTCTTAACTGCTTTTGATCAAGGTTTGTGCTTCTTTAAAAAAATCACAAATCCTGAACATTAGTTTACTCTGAATACTAATAACACAGGACATTAGAGAAATACTTTTAGCCATTGAAAGAAAAGACTTGGTTATGATAGCTATGCCCTTCTCTTCCTTTGGGCCTACAGAACTGTATGATCCATTCCAGAGAGAAGGTCATAGTATCATGTTTCCTAACTTACTCTAGCACAAAACTATTTTGCTTAATATAATTCTCTGAATATTTATTGATTTTATAAATGGTTGGTAGTTGTAATTGTAGATGATTTAGAAGAAGAGCATGACATGACTTTGCCCTTAAGGAGCTTAAAATGTACTGAGGGTACAGCACAGGAAATCAAAAGAAACTGTTATTTAAACTAATTTAATCAAATGTATTAAACAATCAATAGACTTGGCCTTCAAAGAAAGTATAGATTAATGTGAATTGTAGTAGTTTCAAAAATTGTCATGAAGGTTATAAAAAGGTTGACAGAAGTTATATATTAAAGAATGGATAAGGTTTATATGATGATAAGGACAAGGCCAGTGTTTTGGTGAGTACAGTCATGTTGATGGTATGTTCTCAGTAGTGTGATGAAACACTTTGGGTGATAAAAAGACCTCTGGTTGGGTGTGGAACAGTGGTTCCTTGGATACAAAGGGACAGACTGAAATATGGAAAGAACTATGTAAGCATAACTCTACTCACAATGGAAATCCAATATAGGATTTTGAAAGATAAAATAAGTTGATAAGATAAATATTTAGGAAGTTTTCTAATATTATAGTTTAAATTAGAAAGACAAAGAATATATATAAAAAAGGAAGGTCATTGCAGTTACCCAGGATTGGAATGATGAAGCTCTAAACTAGGAAAATGGCAGCAGAAATTAAACATTGTATTTCACATGGAATAACTTTTTGAGGTAGGTAAAACCAATACTCGTTAAAGAGATTAAAAACAAAACAAAAAAACAAGGTATTAAGAGGTTGGATTAGAATGCAAAGTCAATGAGCATCCAGATGTATTTGCTCCAAGCACTGAATATTTTTTAGTAAATAATGAAATCTCCAATGATTATTTAGGTAGAAGAAAAGTGTTATTTATAATTTTAGTTTGTCACCATTAATGCTACTGCTCTTGCTTTACCCAACCTTTTTTATTAATTTTCTCTCTTGATATGTAAGATTGCTTCTTCAATTTGATACTGAGCCCTACATAATGCAGAAGATAATTAGAATTCCTCAGAAATCATGAATACTAACATAGCATATTTTCTTCAAAGGATCGTGTTAGAAATGAAATGATTTTAGAGCAACTACCACACTACATAGCACAAATTATTGCAGAGTATTATGGTTCAAATATATCTGATATATATATATATATATATATATATATAATATTGTCAATATGGGTTTCATTCTAAATGTTTATTATATTTTTATGTCTGTTTCTTCCCTGACTTTCCACTTGCTCTTCTTTCGGCCTGGAATATCCTTTTTAACCGATACTTCAGGTCCTCTCTCCTTGACTAATTCTGGCTAATCCCTGGAGACTAAGGCAAGCTTTGTTTCTGTCACAAAAAATTTCCTAATCCCCTTAAATTGGACTAAAGCCACATAACTCAAGAGTGTCTTACACAAACTATTTTTTTCATTTTTTTTTTGGTGCCAGTTATCATAACTATAGACTAAAAGAAACCGTGCAGCTCATGCCTGTAATCCCAGCATTTTGGGAGGCCGAGGTGAGCAGATCACTTGAGGTCAGGCATTTGAGACCAGCCTAGGCACCATGGTGAAACCCCATCTCTACCAAAATATGAAAAATTAGCTGGGCATGGTGTCCCATGCCTATGGTCTCAGCAACTCCAGAGACTGAGATTGGAGGATCACTTGAGCCTGGGAGATGGTGGTTGTAGTAAGCTGAGATTGAGCCACTGCATTCCAGCCTAGGTGACAGAGTGAGACCCAATCAATGATAGGCTAGATAAAGAAAATGTGGTACATATACACCATGAAATACAATGCAGCCATAAAAAATAATAAGATTATGCCCTTTGCAAGGTCATAAATGGAGCTGGAGGCATTATCATTAGCAAACTAATTCAGGAACAGAAAATAAAATGCAGCATGTTCTCACTTATAAGTGGGAGCTAAATGATGAGAACACGTGGGCTCGTAGAGCAGAACAAAACACACTGGGGCCTATCAGAGGGTGGAAAGTGGGAGGAGGAAAAGCATCAGGAAAAATAACTAATGAGTGCTAGGCTTATTACCTGGATGATGAAATAATCTGTACAGTAAACCCTCATAGCACATGTTTACTTATGTAACAAACATGTACATGTATCCCTGAAATTAAAATAAAAGTTTAAAAAAATGATACACTATGAGTTCCAAACTCCGTAAGGGCAAGAACTGTATATGTCTTATCCACCACTCTCTTCTCAGTATCTAATATAGTACTTCTTCTTAGTATGGAAAAAGTATCTGTTGAGACTAATTCTCTGTTTTGCTCTCAGTAAACTCTAGCTGAGCCTGGCGATCAGGGCATCCTTCTCTAAGTTCTTACAGAGCATCCCTCCACTGGGTCCTGATGCAGAATTAGAGGCTTTGTACTCTGTAGCTCCACAGCACTTCTACATATGCTTTGTATTAATAAACACAGCATTTGGAAGGTTTTCTCTATATTTACAGGGCACCATTTATGCCTAGGAAAACTGCCTTTTATCTTGCAAAGAGTGGTAGCATCTGTCTCTTACCAGCTGAACAACGAAGGTCTCATTTTATAATCTCTCTGAGACTGCTTCCACCAGTCTAAAATTAAAAATATATAAGGCAATTTATAGTAAGATAGTGGGAATTAAATAAATCAAATTAAGTTAAATAAAGTGTGTGAATGTACAGCATATAGAACTTGGAATGTAGTAAGTTGTCAATAAATTTTTGTGTTTTTCTTTCCTTTTATTCCCTTATGCTGCTTTTCCTTCTTTCAACTTCCCTTCTTCTCTTTTATTTCCTCATAGTTTGTGAACAATAAAAGTTAAGAACAATTATTAAATTTCCTTTTGTGTCACCAACACTAATCAAAGTAGCATAGTGGCTGAACTGTCATAGTTGTTGAATGAAAATTTTAGAGTAAACAAATGATTGAATGAATGACAAAACAAATACCAAAAAGATAACTCACTTCTGCCCATTTTCTGAACCATAAAATCTATGTGGGGATATTATATAATCAAAATTGGGAAGAAATTCTCTGTTAACTCTAAATACTCCCTCATTATTTGCTTAATATGTAAATAGGAATGCAATTATTATAATTTATTTTTTTCAGGGTAAGAAAATTCTTATGAGAGAGAATAGACTAGGAAACAGGCTTTTAAAGCATAGTTGCAATTATTTTCAGGCTGTTTCTTCTTTCCTTCCTTCTTTATTGTTTAATTATAGCTTTCTTTTTTATTCTTTGCTTTTTATTTCTTTTTAGATATGATGTTAGCTAAATAATTTTTTCTAGATTCCTTTGATTAGGTTAAAGGCATTTTCCTCTATTAGTAGTTTGATGATAATTTTTATCATAAGATTTTAAAATTTATCAAATTATTTTTGTGTATTTATTGATATAATCATGTAGTTATTCCTTATTCAGTTAATATGGTATGTTACATTAATTGATTTTCAAATGTTAAAACTATTTTTGTATTCCTGAGATATATTCCTTTTGGCCATGGTATGTAAATTATTTTATGTGTCACTGAATTTCATTTCCCAATATTATCTTATGGATTTTTGCATCTAGGTTTATAAGAGACATTGGTCTATAGATTTTTTATGCATTAATTATCTGGCTTAGGTATCAAACCTACACTAGCCAAATCAGATAATTTCCTCTATTATCTGCAATTCTTCATCCAATAATGGTATTTATTCCTTAAACATTTGATAGAATTTATCTGTGAAGAAATCTGGGAATTAAATTTTATTTGTGAAAAGACGTTTACTTGTTAATTGAATTCATTTATGTTTAGCGGTCTTTAAGATTTTCTAATACTTCCTGAGTCAGTAGGGTATTTTCTGTGTTTTTTTAGGCATATGTCCACTTTTTCAAAGTTGCATAATTTGTTGCCATAAACTTTTTTTCAGCCTGGACGCAGTGGCTTATATTTGTAATCCCAGTGCTTTGGGAGGTCAAGGTGGGCAGATCACCTGAGGTGGGGCCTTGCCAACATGGTGAAACTCCATCTCTACTAAAAATACAAAAATTAACTGGGTGTGGTTGCACATGTCTATAACCCCAGCTACTCAGGAGGCAGAGGTATGAGAATTGCTTGAACCTGGGAGGCAGAGGCCACAGTGAGCAGAGACCATGCCACTGCACTCCAGCCTGGGCTACCATATTAGTTTGTTTTCACACTGCTAATAAAGACATACGCAAGACTGGGTAATTTATAAAGAGAAAGACATTTAATAGACTCACAGCTCCACATGGCTGGGGAGGCCTCACAATCATGGTGGAGGGTGAAGGAGGAGCAAAGACATGTCTTACATGGAAACAGGCAAGAGAGCGTGTGCAGGGGAACTACCCTTTATAAAACCATTAGATCTCATGGGACTTATTCACTATCATGAGAACATTACAGGAAAAAGCACACCCCCATTATTCAATTACCTCCAACTGGGTCCCTCCCACGGTATGTGGGAATTATGGGATCTACAATTCAAGATGAGATTTGGGTGGGGACACATGTACTCACATTTCAAAACACAATTATGCCTTCCCAACAGTCCTCCAAAATCTTAACTAATTTCAGCATTAACTCAAAAGTCTACAGTGTAAAGTTTCATCTCAGACAAGGCAAGTCCCTTCCACCTAGGAGCCTGTAAAATCAAAAGCAAGTTAATTACTTCCTAGATACAATGGGAATACAGGCATTGGGTAAATACACCCATTCCAAATGGGAGAAACTGGACAAAACGAAGGGACTACCAGCTCTATGCAAGTCTGAAATCTAGTGGGGGAGTCAAATCTTAAAGCTCCAAAATGATCTCCTTTGACTCTATGTCTCACATCCATGTCATGCTAATAATGCAAGAAGTGTGTTCCCATGGTCTTGGGCATCTCTGCCTCTGTGGCTTTGCAGGATGTAGCCTCCTTCCTTGCTGCTTTCATTGGTTGGTATTGAGTTTCTGCAGCTTTTCCAGGCACTTGGTGCAACCTGTCAGTGGATCTACAATACTGGATTCTGGAGGACAGTGGTCTTCTTCTCACAATTCCACTAGGCAGTGTCCCAGTGACAACTCTGTGTGAGACTCCAACCCCACATTTCCTTCCTACACTGCCCTACTAGAGGTTCACCATATGGGCTCTGCCTTTGCATTGGACTTCTGTCTGGACATCCAGGTATTTTCATATATCCTCTGCAAGGATGTATGGAAACCTCAATTCTTGACTTTTGTGCACCCATAGGCTCGATAAAATGTGGAAGCTACCAAGACTTGGGGCTTTCACCCTCTGAAGCCATGGCCTGAGCTCTACCTTGGCCCCTTTTAGCCATGGCTGGAGCAGCTGGGACACAGGGCTCCAAGTCCCTAGGCTGCATACAGCAGGGGGGCCCTGGACCCTGACCAGGAATCCATTTTTCCCTCCTTGGCCTCCAGGCCTGTAACGGGAGGGACTGCTGTGAAGGTCTCTCACATGCCCAGGAGACATTTTCCTCACTGTCTTGGTGATTAACATGTGGCTCCTTGTTACATATGCAAATTTATGTGGTGGGCTTGAATTTCTTCCCAGACAATGGGTTTTTATTTTCTATTGCAACACCAGGCTGGAAATTTACCAAACTTCTATGCTCTGCTTCCTCTTGAATGCTTTGACACTTAGAAATTTCTTCCACGAGAATACCTCAAATCATCTCTCTCAAGTTCAAAGTTCCACGGATCTCTAGGGCAGGGGCAAAAAGCTGCCAGAGTCTTTGCTAAAGCATAGCAAGAGTCACCTTTGCTTCAGTTCCCAACAGGTTTCTCCTCTTCATGTGACCCATATCAACCTGGACATTATTGTCCATATCACTATCAACATTTTGCCAAAGCCATTCAACAAGTCTGTAGGAAGTTTCAAACTTTCTCACGTTTTCCTATCTTTTCTGTGCCCTCCAAACTGTTCCAACCTCTGCCTGTTTCCCAGTTCCAAAGTTGCTTGCACATTTTCTGGTATCTTTATAGCAATGCCCCAATCCTGGTAGCAATTTACTCTATTAATCTGTTCTCATGCTGGTAATAAAGATGTTCCTAATACTGGATAATTTATAATGGAAGGAGGTGTAATTGACTCACAGTTCCACATGGCTGGGGAGGTCTCACAATCACGGTGGAAGGCGAATGAGGAGCAAAGTCACGTCTTACATGGCAGCAGACAAGAGAACATGTGCAGGGGATCTCCTCTTTATAAAACCATCAGATCTCATGAGACTTATTCACTATCACTAGAACAGCATGGGAAAAGCTACCCCCCTATGATTCATTTACCTCCTACCAGGTGCCCCCCACAACACATGGGAGTTATGAGAGCTAAAATTCAAGGTGGGATTTGGGTAGGGACACAGCCAAACCACATCAGTGACAGTGACAGGATAAGACTGTCGCCAAAAAAAAAAAAAGTTTTTTCACAATATTTGCCTGTAACTTTTAATTTCTAACACCTCTAATGATGAGACCATGTAGTTCTAACTTTAGTAATGTCCTTCTCTTTCTCTTTCTCTTTCTTTTCCTTTCATTTTCCTCTCTTTCTTTCTCTGTCTCTTTCTTTTTCTCTTTCTCTCTTTCTTTCTGTCTTTCTCTCTCTCTCTCTCTTTCTCTCTTTCTTTTAGTCTAACCAAAGGTTTACCAACTTTGTTGATAAATGATCTTTATTTTTTAGTTATTTTTCTAAATTTTATTTTGGTAAGAATACTAAACCTGAGATCTACCCTTTTGACAACATTTTAAGTATACAATACATTATTTTTGTGACCATAGGTTCAATGTTGTACAGCAGATATCAGTTATTTATTATTTTTATTTGTGTTTTAAAATCAGCAAGTGACAAATTATGTATATATATGATGTACAACATGATGTTTTGATGAATGCATAGTGGAATGATTCAATTGACCTGATTAATGTATCTGTCACCTCACATATCTGTCATATTTGTGATGAGGATATTTAAAACATATTCAAAAATTGTTGATATTTGTTAAGTACACTATACATTATAGTCAATTATAGTTACTATGCTGCACAATTTATCTCCAAAACTTATTCCACCTGC
This sequence comes from Homo sapiens, assembly GCF_000001405.40. Taxonomy (NCBI): domain Eukaryota; kingdom Metazoa; phylum Chordata; class Mammalia; order Primates; family Hominidae; genus Homo; species Homo sapiens. The sequence goes on from NC_000007.14 coordinate 119,097,770, forward strand.
CTGAGTGGGATTTTGAACACTTTAACCAACATCCCCTGATTCTGCCTCCTCTCCCCAACCCTGGTTTCTGGTAATCATCATTGTGTTATTTACTTCTATGAGTTTAGTTGTTTCAGATTTCACATATAAGTGAGATCAGAAGATATGTATTTTTCTGTGCCTGGCTTATTTAATGTCCTGCCTGTTAATCTATGTTGTCACAAATAACAGGATTTCCTTCTTTTTAGAGCTGAATAGTATTCCAATTTGTATATATACATTTTCTTATTCTATTCATCCACTGATAGAAACTTAGGTTAATTTCAAATCTTGTCTATTGTGAATAGTGCTGCAATGAATATGGGTGTCCAGGTATCTCTTTGACATACTGATTTCATTTCCTTTGGATATATATCCCCAAATGGGATTGCTGGATAATATGGTACTTCTAGTTTTAATTTTTGGAAGTACCTCTATAATGTTTTCCACAGTGCCTGTACTAGTGTACATTCTCTCCTACAGTATACAAGGTGTCTCCTTTCTTTACATCCTCAACACTGCTTATGTTCTATCTTTTTGTTAAACTTCCTATTTAGAGGTATGAGGTAATATGTGATTGTGGTTTCAATTTTTATTTTTGTGATGATTGGTGTTGTTGAGTGCCTTGTCATATGGCTGTTAGTCTTTTGTATGTCTTCTTTTGAGAAATGTCCATTCAGTTCCTATGCCCATTTTTTAGTCACTTTGTTTTCTTGCTGTTGAGTTGCTTGTGCACATCTTTCTTAACTAAAACTTTATTCTCATTGATTAGTAACTCCCCTTTGCAAAAAGGCCACTCTTGACTTCATTCATTTTTCTACTCTTGTGTTTTCTACTTCATGGATTTTCACTCCAATTTTTCTTACTTCCTTACTTCTATTTAGCTTTGCCTTGGTCCTCTGACCTCTTGAGATGAAAACTCAATTTTTTATTTTAGATTTTTTTTCCTTTTTATGATTAAGTATTCTGTGAACTTCCCTGTCGGCACTGCTGTAACTACATATGACAATGTTTCTATATAATTTGACTTTCTTTTTCATTTAGGTTTAAGATATTTTCTAACTTCCTCTTTGATTTCTTCATTTACTCCTGAGTTACATAGAATTGTTCTGCTTAATTTTCAAATAATTTGGTGTTCCCAATTTTCTTTCTGCTGTTCACTCTAATGGAATTCTCTGTGATAAAAAAACATTATTTGTATTTCTTCACTCCTTCTGACAATATTTCCATCAGTTTATATCCCTTGCTTAAAAATAAGTCCACCCCCTGCCAACAGTGTTGCTGTTTTCTCGCCTTTTTCTACACTGGTAAAATTTATGCTCACCAACTGAGTTAGGAGGATGGCAGCATGGTGAAAAGGCCACAGATTCTCATTGGTATTATACAAAACTGCAGCAGTTTTTATGAATAAATGCTTCTCAACTTCTTGTTTTTCTTTGATTGATTTCTGCAGCCCTCAAAATGGTTGTTAAAGATAATTTTAAATAGTTTTAGACTTATTATTTAGGGAGAGGATTAGTAAGCTTCTTCACACTACTACAGCCAGATGTCTACTTGTAGAGCTTATATCCCAAGTCACTTACTGAGGAAAGATTTACTTGCTTGTTTACTTTTTATAGTGAGAAGTGAAAGCAAAGTCTTACTTAATAAAGAATGGAGTGTTAGTTATAGGAAAAAAAGGACACAGAAATGAAACCTGAGGTAAATTTGTTTAATGTCTTGATTTTTCCAGTGACAGTCCAATATGGGTATTGTGGGTAAAAAAGGTATCTTCATAAGCTCTTGAGTGTATGGAAACAGCCCATGGAGAGTAAAGAGTGTGAGAGACTGAAGTTCTGTTTGCTATGATGTGCTTTGGGAATCTGGGTAGCCAAATCAATCTTTGAGCTTCAACACCCTAGTCACTACTAAAGAGTTGAACTATATGATTTGGCACTCATCTCTAAATATCTAGCTATACAGAAGTTACATTAGAGTCAATTTTAATATAGAATTTCTTGGTTTCCTCTGTAAAGTTCTGATTCAGTGTGTGAGACAAGGAGGCAAGGTATTTGTTTTTAGCCAGCTTCTCTGTAGAGTCTACATGGAGCCAAGCTATTGGGGCACTGCTCTCTTCCCCTCCACGCCACACCAAGGTTTCATGATTCTTCCTCTTGCCTATGTCAGGTATTATAAGTAGATATTCTTTTTTTCTAAACAATTATACAACAAAAATATGGTGTTTTCTTGGTGCATTGGATTTCTCTGAAATCAAATGTCTTTTCCCCTCCCCCATTGATTATGGTATCTGGTTCAGTTACTGAATATAGTTTATGTAGGTGTTAGCAGCTCTGCAAAAAGGAGATTGCTTACTTAGTAAAAATACTGGTACAGCCCTCTCTACATGAACCAATAATGCATGTCAGGCCAAAGAGGGCTGGAAAAATCTTTGCATCACTCATCGTGTTGTCTGTTCACATTGAAGGGGTGGCCTGCCCCTTCACACCTGTGGGCGTTTCTCGTCAGGTGGAACGAGAGACTTGAGAAAAGAAAGAGACACAGAGACAAAGTATAGAGAAAGAAAATGGGCCCAGGGGACAGGTGCTCAGCATACAGAGGACCCACACCGGCCCCAGTCTCTGAGTTCCCTCAGTATTTATTGATCATTATCGGGGGTTTCTCGGGGAGGGAGATGTGGCAGGACAATAGGGTAATAGTGGAGAGAGGGTCAGCAGGAAAACATGTGAACAAATGTCTCTACATCATAAACAAAGTAAAGGAAAAAGTGCTGTGCTTTTGATGTACATAAACATCTCAATGCCTTAAAGAGCAGTATTGCCTCCAGCCTGTCTCACCTCCAGCCCTAAGGCGGTTTTCTCCTATCTTAGTAGATGGAATATACAATCCGGTTTTACACTCAGACATTCCATTGCCCAGGGACCAGCAGGAGACAGATGCCTTCCTCTTATCTCAACTGCAAAGAGACCTTCCTCTTTTACTAAGCCTCCTCAGCACAGACCCTTTATGGGTGTCAGGCTGGGGGACAGCCAGGTGTTTCCCTCCCCACAAGGCCATATTTCAGCCTATCACATGGGGAGAAAACTTGGACAATACCTAGCTTTCCTAGGCAGAGGTCCCTGCAGCCTTCCGCAGTGTTTTGTGTCCCTGGGTACTTGAGATTAGGGAGTGGTGATGACTTTTAACAAGCATGCTGCCTTCAAGCATTTGTTTAACAAAGCACATCCTGCATTACCCTTAATCCATTAAACCTTGAGTCAACACAGCGCATGTTTCTGTGAGCACAGGGTTGGGGGTAGGGTTACAGATTAACAGCATCTCAAGGCAAAATAATTTTTCTTAGTACAGAACAAAATGGAGTCTCTCATGTCTACTTCTTTCTACATAGACACAGTAACAGTTTGATCTCTCTTTCTTTTCCCCACACACATCCCCTAAGAAAATATATTTTTGCATTTGTTCTACTATTGACTTATTTTCTTAACATTTTAAACCTTAAGAACAAAGGTTAAATAAAGCACACCACATAATCTTGCAGGGGATATTTGCATTTTAAAACTGCCAGTAATAGAAGAACGTGATAGCACACGTAGGCATAGGTTTTGATCAAAGATGGGAGATATAGGGGACTCTGAAAAAAATCTCTAGGAGTAATGAAAAGTAAATAGAGATGGGCTTAAAATAACTCATAGACTATCTCATTTTTGACTTGTATTGTTTTTGTATCACAGGAATTTGAGCACATAAATATAGTTTCTATGAAGTACTGATCATATTCCTTCAGCTTAGTGACATAGCTAAGTTCAAGTTAAAGTAGAGTAGGCTGTCATTAGTAAAAATGCCCAGATAACAAAAAATAATCATGGACCAAACATAATTTTCATAACTATAAAAGTTTAATGTTCAGACTGCTTTTAAGTTTTTCAATGATTTTTTTTCAATCAGACACATTTTTATGCTTCACACATTTTCATGCTTCACACATTTGTAAGATTTGCAGGATAAGAAATTGTGGCCATTTTTAGAGCATAGGAAAATGACATACACAGAATTGTCTTACATAAAGTCACAGGAAGAGAAATCGTTGATCCACAACAAGGACTCAGTACTTTTAGAAATTTGCAACAATCAAAATTAGAAAATGGATTGTTTGAGGCAAGCAATTTCAATCTCATTTACTAGAGTAGGAGCTCTTCAAATATCTGGTAGGTGATCGCCTAAAAAGAACAATAAAACAAACTATTTGGGGGAACTTTAGATATAATTTATCACACAAAATGCTGAATGACTTGGAAAGCAGCTCAGAGTCCTAAATCAATGGCAAACGTGAATGTTTTTTCATCCATCACCCAGTGATATTAGAGGTGACAACCTGGTGAAGGCAACAGAATTCTGCACATTTTATGATGAGATTTGCTACTGCATTTTATGAGAGGTATTTTGAATGAAAACTTTGTCACCATTTTTTAAACAATTCTTATTAATCTTCACATTTCAAAAACATATTTGTGCAATTCTTTGAGCTTACTCTTCTTCAATCTCAATAAGACACAATATTATCTCCCTTGGTGCTGGTTCCTGACAAATCTCCAGACAAACTTAGCTTTTAATATCAATCACACCTCATTCCTTTCTCATCATATCAGAACAAACAAAGAGAAGTGTTGTGCATCTTTGCAAGTGCAGAGTATGATTTCAAATGTGCTGATTCAGCCAAAAGTCTTAAATTTATATTAATCACCACATAAGAGAGTAATTTCTTGGCATGCTGTATTCTTCAACTCAAGGGTTTTATCCTGGATGTCTGCACAATTCCTTTCTGGCAAATGAGCATTCAAAAAAGCACTTTAGGTTAAATGAAGCAATAATGAAACAGAATTTACTATTTCAGCCAAAATTTTCGACAGAATTAAAACGTAGAAATGAAATAGTTAATCAGAATGAAATTATGAGATTGGTTTTCCTTTGACAATTATGCAACTTTGATTAAGCTCAGGAATGGCCCCAATTTATCCTTCTCCCAGATCTGTTAGGCTAATCTACTGGCCTGGAGCTGCTCCTTTCCCTGGGTTGGGCATGTTGCTTCTAAACAGCTGCTACCAGTTAGCTCTTTCCACCTGCAAGAGCTAGGTAAATCACACTCGGATTAGCCACTGTTTTCATCAGAAATCATTTAGAAAGCCTGGGCCTGGGCCAAAGAGTTGCTGCAGTTTTCATATTATTATAAAGGTACTTATTGTTTTCCTCTGATTGGTCTCTTTTCTCCTGTGTCCTTCTTGGCTATTGCCTGCTGCCTTGTACTTTTGAACTCTTTGGAATATATGCTCTTTGCAATATATGTTCCTGCTCTTCCTCATGATGAACCATATGCCCTTCTCTGCACTTTGGCATTTGATCTCTTTGTATTGTTGTCCATCTACCTAATTCCTGTCTTTCTTTCTCAGTGGGAGTTTTCCAGATAAATAAATAAATCTGAATATTGCTGCTCACTTTCTAATTATCATTATTGTTTATAGGGGCTCTGTTTGTGTCTAAGTATAACAGATATACTATCTACTTTGAGTGATTGCCTATTAGTTAAAGAATAAAGGAAGTTAAAGCATCTGGCCACTGATCCACTCATCCCTCTCCCTGTTGGGTGGGGTGTAAAGTTTGAGGAAATCAGTGTGTGGGGAAAAGCAGGTCATCTGGGCTACCCTTCTTGTTAACTTGACCTCTGGGTAAATAGACTAATGATGTTTGCCCAGGAGGAAGAGAGTTTATCTCTTAAATATTCTTAGCTGGATGTCCCTAGCTAAGGATTACTCAGGTCTACTAGCATGCTTCCTGGAAAACATCACATAGGTGATACAAGTCTCTGTACTATAAAATGGTCATGTGTAATACTTGACAAGCTAGACTTCTGTGAGGTAATCCTGTGAAACTCACTGAAACACCTCATGGATTCTGGACCAGAGAAGCTTATCTAACCCAAGAAGAACCGTGGGAGCAGCCCTTGGCGTCTCTCTACCTTGTCTGAGTCCTTTAATTGCCTGTGTCCTTGACGTTATTTAGCAAAGCTTTATACTAATTAAGAACTCTGTTCTATGTGAATCTGAACTCTGTTCTGTGTGCATCTGACAATGTCATTTTGTGAATGAGCTCTAGATTTTTGGCTTTAGTGTGAGATTGCTTGGATTTGAATCCTTTTTTCCTTGATGTTTACCTGTGGGCTCTGGGCAAGCTACCTCACCTCCCAGTGATTGATGTTTCTACCCATGAGAATAAGGTTAGGAATAGTTTCTATTTTGAATAATGCATATAAAACACACAACAGTATTTAACACTAAACTTGAAGTTAATGTTAGATATTAAGATTCTGTTCAATAGCTGGGCCACAGTAATAGCACACATTTATCATGTATTTAGTGTTTACCAGATATTGAGACAAACACTTTAAAATAATTGTTCTCCTCAAATTTTTACAGTCAGCCCTGTGAGTAATGAGAAGAATTTCTACAAATGTAGAAGAGACTGAGTTTTCACTTTATTCTTAAAGCATGTATCTAATCTGTGTAAGGCATAATTACATGTACAGCCATTACTCCCAAAATGAACATCTCCAGGCCCTTAATACTCAAAATGCTATCTGAATCATTGGCATCACCTGGAAGCTTGTTAGAAAAGAAGACTTTCTTTCAAAAAAAAAAAAAAAGCTGATTAAGAATCTGTATTTTTAACAAGACCCAGCCCCCCATCCCAGGATGATTTATTTGCTTGTTAAAATTTGAAAATTCAATTTTAGCTAGTTTTAGGTGTTTCTTTCCCCTGCCATTTAATCAAAAGCAGCCATGATTTCTAAATTAATCCATTTTTAATTGCTACATATACTCATTAAACTTTTCAGTTTAATCTTCAGCTACAACTTGGGAGCAATTTCATGAGTGTTCGGCGCAGGTACTGTGGAAGGAGGGATGTGAGAGGGAAAATAAAGGTGAAGCATTCAGCAGAGGAAATGTTCCTTAATTGAGCTGAGTTTCTCTCCTAGCAGATCTACTATTCAATCTGCATTAAAAAGTGACCCACAATTAATCACATAAAACTTAAGTTCATGAGTAGATTTAAACAGAAGTAAATCTTATATTTTCACAGTCTATATTTTCTTTTCCTGGAGTATCTGCAAATTAAGATCAGATATGCATCACAGGTATTTGCTAATTATTCAAAGTCACTGATTTTATGAACCTTTTGAAAGTAATTTATCTCAAATTTTGATCCAGTATTTTTCTTGTTTAATTCTATGATTTGTAAAATATTTGCAAAAAGTTTATTATATAGTTTTTATGGATCATATTTGATTAGAAGAAATTCTGCTACTTAGTTACCCTATTGATTAGGAGGATAACAGAAATAACGATAACTTTTTGTTTCATAATAATCCTAAACTTATGTAGAATACTACATAAATCACTGAATCAATGAAGATGATCATATTAAGCAATGCACTATTACTTTTTAAAACAATTAGTGTAATGTGGGAAAATATTTTAAAATTAAATTAAGGAGAAAAAATTGTTTGATAATCTTCAGCTTGTAAGAAAAATAGCCAGAAGCCAATCTTAATTCTCAGTTTGCCCTGGAACATTCAAAACATAGATCACTTTAGGGCAGTAAAAATAAATGAAAATAACCCCCAAAAGAACAAACAGAGGCTAGTTATTTGAACTGTGTCATAGGATGGGTGTCAGAAATGATCATTTGCATTTGTCAGAGACTCAGGCAACTGAGGGAGTGACAAAGTGTCATAGTGAAGAAAATGAAAGCCTTCAGGTATGTTTGGTATGCTCTGATTGAAGGTTGTTGGCATTTACTTGAAAGTGGGCAAATCACGATCACATCTTATGTAATTAGTTTGGAGAGCTTATTTATTTAGTTTCTGTTTGGTTTGAGTTGGTAGCAGAGGCAAAAATTAGGAAAGCTGGAAGTAATGAACTAAATCCTAATTGCTCCAGCCAACTGCTACAGAGGTTTGGCTTCCTGGACTGGTTGCTGTAGAGGCTGTAGGTCAGAGTTCTAGTTTCATTTATGGTCTGGCCATTGTCTGAATATTCCATATCTCAGAGCAGAATCCAAATTGTTGACATAAACTATTTGAAAACATAAAATCTGCTATAATCATGATTTTTAAAGCAGCCTAATGTTGCAAAAGAGTTATAGGCCAATATTCTCAAATATTAAGTTATTTAGAAAACGATACAGATGAGTATTTGAATATTTGCATTTGTGCTAAAATGCTGCCCACCAGAATTACAAGAGGTATATCAAGCCAGCCCCTATTCTTGAGGTAATTTGACAACTTTTATATTTTATCTCATTGGACCTGAGAACAAAGCTGCAGCTGGGATTTTGGAGAGGAAATTCAAAAAAGATTGGAAGTGAAAACTGAAATTCACAGTCATCATTGGTAAGACTAGGAGCCATCAATGCAACTTTCATAGTAGGTAAAGGACAGTGGAGTGAGATAGATTTGTAGCACCATAGAAAGCCCTGGTTATAACCTGTGGCACTAACTTGATAAATGAAGTAGTGAAGTCATTTTAACCAACATTTGAGCATTTACATTGTTCCAAGCACAGTGTCATGGGTTGATGATTCTAAAAAGAATATGGTAGAGGTCAGCCTACATGGAAATTGATGAAAAGAGAAAATATTTTGGCACTTAGAGACAGGTGGGAAAATCCACTATTTAAATATGGCAGTGTTTTTTTAGGAATGGATTGCAGCAGTTAAAACCATGTTTTTTTCAGTTGATGGGCCATAGTGCAACTTTAGAATGGTAGTAAATGTATGCTTTTTATACATAATATATATCTTGTTTTCCTGCTCTTATGAATGTCAGATACATGTATGCTATTAGAAAACAAACTATCAAAATAGCTTTCTAACCTCCTTCTAAAATGTAGTTCATATCAAATTTTAATGTATCAATTAAAAATTGTAACACTGTTATGTACACAGTCAATTACCGATGAAAAAATTCATAGTTAATCCATTGTTATTAGAATTAAGGGTTTGGTACTTAAGATAAATGGCACCAGAAACCAAACTATTTAGTTTATATTCTTAGTTACTAATGAAACTCAGTAAAGAATATAAACATTTCACTGGATTTCTGAAAGCTGTTCTGAGGTCCTGCAATTCTTCACCGGTTCTCACTTTAGGGTTCTGAACTAAATGTTCCAAAAGCCTTTTTCAATTTCTTTCCTGGCTTCAAGTTTATATTTATTATATTATGTGCCCATATAGATAGTTAATGGACTTGGCAAAGATAAACATGATTTTTTGCACATTGGACAAGTTTAAAGGTGTGCTTGAAATCAATGGACATTTTGAAGAAGAATAAGTGTTACAAAGTGGAATTGGACAAAAAATAGGATACAGATGGTTTTGAAATCTTCCAGGAGTTTTGTGCTGGTGTGGCAGGCTGCTTTAAATTTATACTCTGTCAATATTTGTAGAGTTTGCTTTCTTTTACTTGTAATTTGCTTTTGTTAATGTTTCATGTTAGTGATTTATTTGAAAATGTAACTCTCTGAGAACCAGGAGTTGAGAATGAGTTCCTCCCTGACCCTAAACAAATTGAGTGTAGCTCACTCTTCTCTCTGGGCACTTGGAAACCTCCCCTAAAAATGTCTCTATCAAAGACCCTTTATACCCTTTAGCCTGGTCCTCACATCTATGACAGCTTTTCTCTTTTCCTCACTTTCTTGAATTATCTCTTGATTCCTTATTCAGTGTGATCCTCACCTACCTTCAAACCTGTCAAAGACATGCATATTTTCCTAAAGGATTCTAGAAAGCATCTCCTGTTCTGTTCCTAAAGTTAGTTTTAGAGTGAACTGCAACCCACCCCTATCCCCAGTAAGTTTTCTGTCCAAATGACACATCCTACCTCCAACACACAAGCAGTACTATCATCTAACTGAATTTTCTTCCTAATTTTTAAGGGTATTCAATTTTATTCAAATCCATGCAGCTACTACAAGCTCCCTCATTGCAGTTTTTCTTACAGGGTGCACATTTGGAAATTATATTTAGAATAACGAAAGTAAACATGTCTATTTGGTCATCATCTAAAAGATGCTAGTATAGGTAACATTTCTCATCTTTAAAAATAAAATTATAGGAATTCTGCTTTTTATGCAAATTTGAAAGACATAAATTTTATATCTTTAAAACTAATTTTTAAAAACTGTAGGTACATAGTATATATATATATATATTATATATATATATATATTATATATATATGGTGTATGAGATGTTTTGATACAGGCATGCAATGTGAAATAAGCACATCATGGAGAATGGGGTATCTATCCCCTCAACAATTTACCCTTTGAGTTACAAGCAATCCAATTACATTCTTTAAGTTATTTTAAAATACACAATTAAGTTATTACTGACTATAGTCACTCTATTGTGATGCCAAATAGTAGGTCTTATTTTTTCTTTCTATATTTTGTACCCATCAACCATCCCCACCTACCCCTACCCACCCACCAACAACCCTTCCCTGCCTTTGGTAACTATCCGTCTAGTCTCTGTGTACATGAATTCAAAGGATTAGATTTTTACATCTCCAAAATAAGTGAGAACATGTGATATTTGTCTTTCTGTGTCTGGCTTATTTTACTTAACATAATGATCTCAGGTTCCATTCATGTTGTTGCAAATGACTGGATCTCATTCTTTTCAATAGCTGAATAGTACTCCATTGTGTGTATTTTCCACATTTTTATTTATCCATTCATCTGTTGATGAACACTTAGGTTGTTTCCAAATCTCAGCTATTGTAAACAGTGCTGCAACAAACATAGGAGTGCAGGTATCTCTTTGATATACTGATTTCCTTTCTTTTGGGTATATACCCAGCAGTGAGATTACCAGATCATATAGTAGCTTAAGTTTTAGCTTTTTGAGGAACTTCCAAACTGTTATTCGTAGTGTTTGTACTCACATTCCCAGCAACAGTGTACAAGGGTTTCTTTTTCTTCACATCCTCACCAACATTTGTTATTGCCTGTTTTTTGGATATAAGCCATTTTAACTGGGGTGAGATGATATCTCATTGCAATTTTGGTTTTCATTTCTCTGATGATCAGTGAGTTTTCAATGATGTTGAGCACCTTTTCATATGCCTATTTGCCATTGGTATGTCTTCTTTTAAGAAATGTCTATTCAAATCTTTTGCCCATTTTGAATTGGATTATTAGATCTTTTTCCTATGGAATTGTTTGAGCTCCTTATATATTCTGGTTATTCGTCCTTTATCAAATGGACACCTTGCAAAATTTTCTCCCATTCTGTGGGTTGTCTCTTTACTTTTTATTGTATCCTTTACTTGATGTGATCCCATTTGTCCATTTTTGCTTTGGCTGTCTGTGCTGGTGGCTTATTGCTCAAGAAGTCCTCGTCCAGACCAATGTCCTGGAGAGATCCTCAAATGTTTTCTTGTAGTAGTTTTATAGTTTGAGGTCTTAGATTTAAGTCTTTAATCCATTTTGATTTTATTTTTGTATGTGGTAAGAGATAGAGGTCTGGTTTCATTCTTCTGCATATATATATCCAATTTCCCAGAAATATTTATTGAAGAGACTATCTTTTCCCCAATGTATGTTCTTGGAATGTTTATCAGAAATTAGTTCACTGTAGGTGTGTGAATTGGTTTCTGGGTTTTCTATTCTGTTCCACTGGTCTATGTGTCTGTTTTATGCCAGTACCATGCTGTTTTGGTTACTATAGCTCTGCATTATAATGTGAAGTCAGGGAATTTGATTCCTCTAGTTGTGTTCTTTTTACATAGGATAGCTTTGGCTATTCTGGGTCTTTTGTGGTTCCATATAAATTTTAGGATTTTTTTTTCTATTGCTGTGAAGAAAACATTGATGTTTTAATAGGTATTGCTTTGAATCTGTAGGTTGCTTTGAGCAGTATGGATACTTTAACAATATTGATTCTTCCAGTATATAAACAATAAATATATATTTTTTTCATTTTTTGGTGTCCTCTTCAATCTCCTTCATCAGTGTTTTTTTTAGTTTTCATTAGAGAGAAATTTCACTCCTTTGGTTAATTCTCAAGTATTTAATTTTATGTGTGGCTATTGTAAATGAGATTACTTTTTTATTTATTTTTCACATTTGTCACTGTTGGCATATAGAAATGCTATTGATTTTTGTATGCCAATTTTGTGTCCTGCAACTTTACTGAATTTGTTTATCAGTTCTAATAGTTTTCTTTGGAGTCCAGGTTTTTCCAAGTATAAGATCATATCATCAGCAAATGTGGATAATTTGATATCTTTCTTTCCAATTTGGATATCCTTTATACCTTTCTCTTGTCTGATTGCTCTAGCTCAGATTTCTGGCACTATGAGGAATAACAGTGGTGACAGTCAACATCCTTGTAGTGTTCCAGATCCTAGAGGAAAGACTTTCAGTTTTTCCCCATTTAGTATGATACCAGCTGTGGGTCTGTCATGTATTATGTTGTATATTTATTATGTTGGGATATGTTCCTTCTATCTCCAGTTTTTTAGGATTTTTATTATGAGGGGATATCAAATGATTTTTCAGCATCAATTGAAATGATCCTTCATGTTTTTATTCTTCATTCTGTTGATAAAATGCATCACATTGATTGATTTGCATATGTTGAACTATCCTTGCATTCCAGAGATAAATTCTACCAGGTCATAATGAATAATCTCTCTACTGTATTGTTAAATTCAGTTTACTAATACTTTGCTGAGGATTTTTACATCAATATTCATGAAAGACATTGGCCAACAGTTTTCTTTTTTTTGATGTCTCCTTGGCTGGTTTTGGCATCAGTGTAATACTGGCTTTGTAGAATACGTTTGGAAGTATTCCCTCCTCCTGTATTTGTTCTGAGAATTTTGAGTATGATTGGTATTAGTTCTTTAAACATTTGGTAGAATTCAGCAGTGAAGTCACTGGGTCCTGGGCTTTTCTTTACTAGGACAGTTTTTATTACAGCTTTGATCTCATTACTTGTCATTAGCCTGTTCATGTTTTGGATTTCTTTCTGGCTCAATCTTGGTAGGTTGTATGTTTCTAGAATTTTTTTCATTTCTTCTATTGGCCTATAGTTGCTCATAGTAGTCACTAATTATCCTTTGAACTTCTGCAGTATCAGTTGTAATGTCTCCTTTTTCATTTTTGATTTTATTTGGAACTTCTTTCTCTTTTTTCGTAGTCTGTCTAAAAGTTTGTCAGTATTGTTTAACTTTTCAAAAACCAAATTTTGTTTTATTATTCTTTTGCATTTTCATTTCAATTTCATTTATTTTGGCTCTGATCTATATTTTTTTCTGCTAATATTGAGTTTGGTTTGCTCTTATTTTTCTAGTTCTTTAAGATGCATTGTTAGATTGTTTATTTCAAGTTTTTCTTTTTTATGTAGGCACTTATAGTTATAAAATTCCCTGAGTACAGTTTTTGCTGTATCTGATTGGTTCTGGTATGTTGTGTTTCCATCATCATTTGTTTCAAGAAAATTTTCAATTTCCTTTTTAATTTCTTTATTGACTCACTGGTAATTAAGTATCATATTGTTATTTTGCAAGTATTTGTATAATTTCCAAATTTAGTTTCATTATTAATTTCTAGTTTTATTCCATTGCATTCAGAGAAGATGCTTGATATCATATAATTTTTTGAATGTTTTAAGATGTGTTTTGTGACCTAACATATGGTGTATCCTTGAGAATGATTCATATACTGAGGAAAAGAATGCATAGTCTGTAGGGTTGGATGAAATGTTTGGTAAATACCTATTAGATCCATTTGGTTTATAGCGTAGATTAAGTCTGATGTTTCTTTGTTGATTTTCTGTCTGGAAGATCTGTTCAATGTTGAAAGTGAGGTGTTGAACTCTCCAGCCATTATTGTATAGAAGCCTATCTCTCTCTTTAGTTCTAATAATAGTTTCTTTATATATTTGGGTGCTCCAGTGTTGGGTGCATATATATTTAAAATTGTTATATCCTCTTGCTGAATTGACCCCTTTATCATTATATAGTGATCTTCTTTGTCTTGAAATCTATTTTGTCCAATATACGGATAGCAACTCCTGCTCTTTTTTTGTTTTCATTGTCATGGAATTCCCTTTTCCATTCCTTTATTCTCAGTCTGTGTGTGTCTTTATAGGTGAAGTGTGTTTCTTGTAGGCAACAGATCAATTAGTTTTGTTTTTTCATCTATCCAGCCAGTCTATGTCTTTTAATTGGAGAGTTTAATCCATTTACTTTCAGTGTTATTATTGATAAGTAAAGAGTTACTACTGCCTTTTTACATTTATTTTCTGATCTTTTTGTAGTTTTCTCTTCATTGTTTTTTCCTTCCTGTTTTCCTCTAGTGAAGGTGATTATCTCTGGTAATATGATTTAGTTTCTTGCTTCTTATGTTTTGTGTACCCATTGTAGGTTTTTTGGTTTGAGGTTACCAGGAGGCTTGCAAATACTATCTTATGACCCATTATTTCAACCTAATAATAATTTAAAACTACTTGCATAAACACACAAACAAGCAAAAAAAAAAAAACTAATAAAAACTCTATGCCTTAATTTTGTCTCCCTGCTTTTAAAATTTTGTTATTTCTGTTTATCTTGTTGTATTGACTATGCCTTAAAAAGTAGTTGTAGTTAATTTTTTAATCTTTCTATTTAAGGTAAGAGTAGATTACACACCACACAGTTACAGTGTTATATTATTCTGTGCTTTTCTGTGCTCTTACTATTACCAGTGACTTTTGTAACCTCAGGTGATTATTTATTGCTCATTAATATCCTTTTATCTCTGATTGAAATCCTTTAGGATTTCTTATAGGACAGGTCTTGCAATGATGAAATCTCTCAGCTTTTGTTGTCTGGGAAAGTCTTTATTTCTCCTTCATGTTTGAAGGATATTTTCACCAGATAAACTATTCTGGGGTGAAAGTGTTTTTTATCCTTTGATCTTTAAATATGTCAAATGGCTCTCTCCTGGTGTTTAAGGTTTCCACTGAATAGCCTGCTGCCAGACATATTGGAGTTCCATTGCATGTTATTTATTTCTTTTCTCTTGCTGCTTTTAGGATTCTTTCTTTATCCTGGAACTTTGGCTGGACCTTTGGGAATTTGATTATTCTTTGGGTTAAATCTGCTTAGTGTTCTCTAAACTTCTTATACTTGGATATTGATATCTTTCTCTAGGTTTGGGAAGTTCTGTGTTATTATTTTTTGAATAAACTTTCTACCCCTATTTCTCTACCTCATCTTTAAACTCAATAACTTTTTGATTTGCCTTTTTGAGACTATTTTCTAGATCCTGCAGGTGTGCTTCATTTTTAGAAAATCTTTTTTTCTCCTCTGACTGTGTATTTTCACATAGCCTGTCTTCAAGCTCACTCATTCAGTCTTCTGCTTGATTTACTCTGCTGTTAAAGGACTCTTACACATTTTTAGTATGCCAGTTGCATTTTTCAGCTCCAAAATTTCTACTTGATTCTTTGTATTTTAATCTTTTTGTTAATATATCCAATAGAACGCTGAATTCCTTTTCTGTGTTATCTTGAATTTATTTCTGTTTCATCACCATAGCTATTTTGAATTCTTTCTCTAAAAAGTCACTTATCTCTGTGTCTTCAGAATTGTTCCCTGGTAGCTTATTTTATTTGGCCAGGTAATGTTTTCCTAGATGGTGTTGATGCTAGTAGATGTCTTTTGGTGTCTGGGCATTAAAGAGCTTGGTATTTATTGCAGTCTTCACTGTCTAGGCTTATTTGTAGCCTTTCTTTTTGGGAAGGCTTTTCAGATATTTGAACGGAGTTGGGTGTTGTAATCTAAGGTGTATCTGCTTTAGCGGGCACCCCAAGCCCAGTAACACTGTGGTTCTTGCAAATTCATAAAGATACCTAACCTTGATGATCTTGGACAAGATTTGAGAGAGTTTTCTGGATTATCAGGCAGTCTCTTGTACCCTTCTGTTACTTTCTAACAAAGATATAGACTCTCTTTCTCCATTCTGAGCCACCTAAATATGAGGGTGGAGTGACACAAGTGGCCCTGTGGCCACCACCACTGTAACTTCACTGAGTCAGATCTGAAGCCAGATTAGCACTGGGTCTCACCCAAGGCCTGCTATAGCCACTCCCTGGCTACTGTCTATAGTTGCTGAAGGCCTTGGGGCTCTACAATCAGCAGGTGGCAAAAGCCAGCCAGACCTGTGTCATTCCCTTTAGGGTGGCAAGGTCCCCAAAGCCCTAGCTGGGTCCAGAAGTGCT
Source organism: Homo sapiens (assembly GCF_000001405.40). NCBI lineage: Eukaryota > Metazoa > Chordata > Mammalia > Primates > Hominidae > Homo > Homo sapiens. The sequence goes on from NC_000007.14 coordinate 119,114,111, forward strand.
ATCTGGGAGTCAGGGACTAAAGTCAAAAACCTTAGAAGTCAATCTGGTGTTCTGATATATTCTGGCTGAGCTGGCACTCAAACCACACAACACAGTATTTCCCACTTTTCCCTCCCCTTTCCAAAGGCAAAGGAGCCTTACCCCATAGCCATCAACTTGTCAGGTCAAGAGGAATACTGCCAGACTACAACTGATCTTCCCTTAAATCCCAAGGTCTTTTAAGTCAGCTTCTGGTGAATACTGCTTGGCCTTGGCCTCACCCGTCAGGGCATTGGGCTACTCTCTGGCCCAGGGCAGGTCCAGAAATGGCTTCCAAGAGTCAAGTCCTGTAATCAGAGACCTCAAGAGCCTGCTTGATGTTGTACCCCTTTGTGGCTGTGCTGGTTCCTAAAGTGCATGACAGAGTCCCCTTTACTTTTACCTCTCCTTTTCTCAAACAGAAGGAGTTTTGCCTCCTAGCCATGATAGCTGTTTATGTATTGAGTCTCACCTGAAGCCAGTAAGTCTCAGAGGCTCACCAAGGTCCTTGATGTAGTACCTAGGTATTGCTGCTGGTTATTCATGGCCCAGTGGCTCTTCAGTTAGCAGGTGATGAAAGCTGCCAGGATTGGGTCCTTTCTTTCAAGGTAGCAGATTTCCTTCTGGCCCAGGGTATATCTAGAATTGGAGATCTAGGGTCTGGAATAGGGGCTTCATGGACTCTGACAGGTGCCCTATCCTGCTGTGGCTGGGCTGGTATCCTACATGCAAGACAAAGTTCTCCCCAGTCTTCCCTCTCCTCTCCTGAAGCAGAAGGAAGGCACCTTGTTTTGAAGCCATGAGCTATGCAGCCTGGGGTTAGGGGAGGGGTGATGCCAGCGCTTGCTTTGCTACCCCAGCTGGTGTCACAATATGTCACAAGTGCCACACCACCATCCCCAAGTCCACTGTCTCTGGGCCTAATTCAGCACTAGGACTCATCCAAGAGTTGCAGTTCTTATGGCTTAGACTTCCTTTTATATTTACTTGGAGACGCAGTGCTGTAGCCTGTTGTGGTGAGGTTTTGGGGAACAGAAATTCTGATCCCTGGGATTGGCGATTCCCCTCTGGCTAGGGCTGGTTTAAATGCGCCCTCCGTGGACAGGCAACAGCTGAGTTTGGTCTGGTTTTCCTTTCTGCTCTAACAGGACAGCACTGAGGTCAGTGCCTCACAATGGCCGTGTTCTCCCTATCTCAGTGCTCAGAGACTCTCTCTTCACCATTCTGCTGCTATGGTGGGTGGGGGAGTGTTGGCGTCCCTGATTTGGGACTGTTATTTTATCTCTTCTATGCTTCTTTCAGCAATATGAAGTTACAATCAGGTACTATGAGTCCTCACCTGACTTTTGGGTCTTATGAAAGTGTTTTTTTTTCCTGTGTAGATAGTTATTAACTTGGTGTCCCTTAAGGGGGTAGCGGGGATAATCAGTAGAGCCTTCTATTCTGCTGTCTTTCTCCATCCCCAAGATAAATTGTAAAGATAAACAAAATCAGTGTCCTTCTCAATAGATTGAAAGTTGCATCCTTTAACTTTTGGGGGAAAATGCTCCATATAAAATATACTCCTGGCTGTGAAGTGAAAATGATATAGTACTCTAGAAGGAGTTTTCGTGTTTCCCATGAGAAAAAGACGGACTACCCAAGAAAGATTAACTTTATTTTTCTTTATAAAGTAGACTAGTTTTTAAATAACAACTGGAGAATTATACAATTAGTCAAAGGAGTTAATCAAAGAGAATGAACAAGTAGATGCCTTATTTGAATCCATCTTATTTCATGAAAATAACTGAGGAACATTTAAAAATTGTATACTCTTAGTAGAGGAAATGTCGTTCGTTTGTGTTTTACCTACTCATAACAAAGAGTCACATGCATTCTAGACACCACTGCAAACCCGTAAACTCTGAGAGTAATTTTACTAAAATTTATTGTCTTCCATGAATCTCTGGATCAGCACTGTCCAATAGAAATATAAAGGCAAGACACAAATATGAACTACATATGTGATTTAAAACTTTATAGTAGTCACATTGAAAAAGTGAAAATAAGCATATATTGTTAAAATTAATATATTTCTATAAACCAGTATGTGAAATTATTATTCTTATGTATTCAACATAAAATCACTAAGTCAATTTCCATTTATTATTCTTACTAACTTAGGAAATCTAGTGCATGTTTTACATTTACAGGACATGTAAGTTAGATCAACTCTATTTCATGTACTCAGTAGCCACATGAGTCTAGTAGCTCCTGTGTCAAACAGCAGAGCTCTGGATATTTTACTTATCCCAAATTTTCAACTGCTACCAAAAATAAATCACTGGAGTAAAATCTTACAATTTAGGCCTTGCACAAACATATAAATATTAATCAACTGAAGCTTATAAATATAGAAAAATGAAAAATCTTGCTGAAGAAAACAATAGATGCCATTTTCAGTAAATATCAATAACCATTTTTTACTTTTATTTACAGTTTATATCATTTATCTTTGTCATGATGCCACTATGGCTCTACATTTAGAAAGATGATTTCTTTAGGGTGATATTTAAGTTTAAAACTAATGTTCCTGAAATACACTAGATATTCAAAATTGCCACAATAAAAATTACTGTAAGCTTAAAAAAGTTCAGAACCATGTTTAAGAGAAATAGGTTTTGTAATAAATAGAGAAAATAATAGAATATAGATTACACAGTTATAGGGTCATCTTTTTAATTAGGAAACCTTAGCAGTTGTAGATAATAGTTGGCAAATGAAAGTGAATTATCTAAGGTGTACTTAGAGTGACCCATAAATCTGTGCATTAAAGCTGTTGGGTTGATTAATTTGTTTGCTACATCCCTACATGCTGTTTATTGACTTGTTGACTTGCTGCATACTACAGGATTTCTGAGAACTTTTTGTTTCTATTTTACATTTCTACTCTTTTTATGATTCTAAATATTCTTTAGTATTGATACCAAGCTTGATAGAATTGTCTATAGATAACAGGTGGGGTAGAGATGCCCAGCATTTCTGTGTACATGTAGAGTACATTATGAAGTTATCTTCTTCAAAATTGTGTGACCTAGTCGCTCAGTGCTTTAAATAGTATAGGTTAGGGGTTTAGTACAATTAAATAATAATTTAGTATAAATGTCAATAAATGTCAGTACTTGACTGTGAGGCAAATCTTATATATACATATATAAAATTTTCTATATACGTATGTAAAATTTTCTGTAAATAATTAGACCTATGAAATATATAGTATATGACCAAGAAAGATGTATCCATGGAGATACATGAAGCTAAGCATTATAATGTTCTAATTCTCTTAGTCAAAGACCATTATTTCTATGTGACAAAAAACAACTGATTAAATCAATTTTATGCCCTTCATGCAAAACTAAATAATGGAAACAACCTTCCAGATGTGGTGCTACTTGCCCTTTCAAATCTGATTATCCAAGACTTTTCTTAGTCATACAAGATACAGTACTTATTTTTATCAGCCAGTATCATTTTACTCATAAGTTTTAAATTGTGATTTTTAAAGCATCATTTAACCTAATAAAAGAGACAGGAGACACTACATCTTCAATGATTGAGACTAACAGTTATATACAAATTTAAACATCAGGTATGACTCAAAGTGCTTCAAATGCTATGCTTTAAAGACATTTTTCAGGACATTTTTGTTACTTTCCACATCATTTACTTTGAGGATCTCTATAATTGCATAGTTATTTCTAAAACTATTAAATTCAAATACACTTTTTGTTTATCTCTTTCTGCCGCTTTACCCTCAAGTCTTGACATTGCCTTGATCCTAACAATGGGATCCTTCTCATTTCCTGTATGCATCTGACACTTTCTTCCTCTGTGCCTTTGCCCTTGGCCTTGGCAGAGCTTTACCTGCCCTTTTAACCTGGCTGACTCTCAGTTAATCTTCAAGGGTTTGTTCAGTGTCAATACTGCAAGATGCCCTCCCATGTCCCCCATTTGAGTTAGACACACCACTTCCACTACTGCTCCTAAGGTAAGGTTGCCTAGTAGTAGGAATATGCTTCCTCCTGCATCAGGCTGTGAGCTCCTTACATGAGCTGTGGCTTAGCTGTATAAGCATTCCCAGCACTGAGGCCACATTACATTCAGTATTTGTTGGAGAAATCAGTGAATGGTTTGGTGGCTGGTGGATGTTGAATGAATGAAAGAAAGCATGTATGGCTGATCATCTTTGTGTATAAGAAATATCAATATTCAATGAAGTGGCAAGAAGAAGCATTTAATTTGATTTTGTTTACATAATGAAAAAAGAACATATATTTTAAAAATGAGATTAATCAGGATTATTCTCTTATTTATTTTTCTTGTTGTTGTTTTTCCTGTCATACCACAGCACTTGGATGAACCTGAGCTCATGTTTAGCTATTAGGGTGATTTTTGTATGTTTTAGGGTAACATATTTAGATTTACTGTCATTGATCATAATTGTTATAGAAAAAAACACATCCCTTTATTAAGAAGGCTCTTTTGGCTGGAGAAAAGTGCTTATATAAAGTGCATGTTTTTACCCAATCCAAAGCCAAAGCCAGGGAAGCTGCTTTAGTCTTTTAACATCGTTAGTTTTCTCACAGGGCCATTGTTTCCTTAATAGTTGAAGAAACATTCCAAGAAACACTAAAACTGTCTCTGTAATCATTGCACTGAGTGATACTCTGAGCTGCACATTTGTCTTAAAATAACTAATGATCTTGAACTTCTTCCAGGCATCTTACACTTTGGAATATTTATTTTTATTCAGAAAAACAACATAAACACATGTCTCCTTTCTTAAAGAAAAGCTGTCTTAGTTCACCTCATGCATGGACTTAATAAACTCCCCACAATAAAGTAATGTTGATTATTGCTTTGCACAGTTGTAGCAGCCTCATTAGTTTCACTACATAGCTTGAAATGGTTTCATGCCAAATTAAAAATATAGGTCATTCAAAGGACTAATGGTCCTAGTTCAGCAGGAAGTAATTTCAAGCTCACCCATATCCAGAAGTCTTTTATCTTACTCTATTGCAAACCATTGTTTGCAGTGGTTCTAAAATTATATGTAAGTTTCATGAAAGCATTTATAAGTGAATGGTTAGAGACACATGCCCTACATGTCTAGCAGATTATGAAATGTTTAAGGCGGTAATTTTCAGTGCCTGATATAGTACTCAGAAATTTGGTATTTTCCTTTAATTTTATGGAACAATTTTTACAATTTTATGTTTCAAAAATGCATTTTACTGAATGCTAATTCTATTTTCACTGAATATGTGCTATTTGAGAAGGAACAAACAATCAAGTAAATATGAAAAACTATGAATAAAACTTTTTGTATGGATTTTAATACTGCAGGACTTCTCAAACTCTGATATATGCATTCACATATGTCACCAATGTATCAGTGACAATGAAAATATTTCACACTTCTCATTATACAGTTTACTTGGATTCCCAGCAGTGTATAATATTGTTGGCTGCTTATGTTATTTTTCAAAAATCAAGTTATTTATTTTAATATATTTTCATTTCCATAGGTTTTTGGGGGAACAAATGGTGTTTGATTACACGAGTCAGTTCTTTAGTGGTGATCTGAGAGATTTTTTTGTGCCCTTCAATAAGCAGTATAAACAGTACCTAATTTGTAGTCTTTTATCCCTCACCACCCTCCCACCCTTTCCCCTAAGTCCCCAAATTCCATTTTATCATTCTTATGAATTTACATCCTTATAGCTTAGCTCCCACTTATGAGTGAGTACATGTGATGTTGTGTCAGGATACAAAATAAATATACACAAATCAGTAGTTCTGCTACACAGCAACAGAAATCAAGCTGAGAATCAATTCAAGAACTCAAACCCTTTTACGATAGCAGCCAAAAAAAAAAAAAAAACTTAGGGATATACCTAACCAAGTAGGTGAAAGACGTCTACAAGGAGAACTACAAAACACTGCTAAAAGAAATCATAGATGACACAAACAAATGGAAGTACATCCCATGCTCATGGATGGGTATAACAATATTGTGAAAATGACCATACTGCCAAAAGCAATCTACAAATTTGATACAATTTCCATCAAAATACCACCATCATTCTTCACAGAACTAGAAAAGACAATTGTAAAATTAATACGGAACGAAAAAATAGCCCACATAGCCAAAGCAAGACTAAGCAAAAAGAAGAAATATGAGGCATCACATTACCTGACTTCAAACTATACTATAAGGCCATGGTCATCAAAACAGCATGGTACTGGTATAAGAATAGGCAAATAGACCAATGGAACAGAATAGAGAACCCAGAAATAAACCCAAATACAGACAACTGATGTTCGACTAAGCAAACAAAAATACTTTCAAGTTATTCCCTTATCTGTACAGAAATAGACATTTTGTTCTTATAGATCAATATTTTCTTCTTTGGATATAACAATTTATTGAATCTATCCTATATTGATAGATGTTTAAGTTTTTTCCCAGTGCGTTATTACTATAAAAGTGCAGCCACCTTGTTCATAAATCACTCCACATGTGTTAGTATACATTAGGGATAATTTTACCAAAGTAGAATTTCTGAATATAAAATTATTGCATTCATAATTCTGATAGATATTACCAAATTGTCAACCATACGGAATTATATCAAACATTAGTAAAAAAGTGCTTATTTCTACACAGTCTGGCAAAGAGAATTTAACAAATGTTAAGTAATACCTTTTCCAGGGTTGTTCTCTACTTTGTGCCCCTCTTTCTCATGATGTGTTTTTCTTCTAATGTGTTTATGGTTGCTGATGTTAACATTAGATTTAGGATTTTTTCACTGAAGGCTTTAAGTGAAGCTTCTTTGTAATTTTATTTTGTTATATAATTTTAGACACATGTTAATATCAATGTTATATTTGCTTCATAAAATTGGACAATTAAATTATAAGTTAAGTTCTGACATTACTTAGAAAACATTAGAATAACCTGCCCCTTAATGATTTGATTTGGGTACTGGGAAAACAGTTGGAGATTGTGCTTTTCTGGGATGCAACTCTTGGAATAATTTCTATATTATCTATTTGGAAGTCAAGTGATTAGATTACATATCTTTCCTGGTGCAAATTTTGGTAAATCATATTTTTCTGAGCATTATCCACTTCATGAAAGCTTAAAATATGTTAGCAAAGAACTGAGCAAATTTATTTTACTTTTTCTGTAGTTATTTATTTCCTCAACATTTTAAGCATTTGTAGTCTTTTTTTTTTCAATAGTTATAACAGCTACTAATTTATCTGTTGTTTTTATAGGTTTGAAAGGTATAATTTTTAGCAATCTTTATTAAATCTATTTTTAAATCTTTCTTACCTGTTGGTCTCTGCTTTTATTATATTAATTTGCTCCTTCTTTTATTTAGGATACTTTGTCTCCTGGTAACTTTGTGAGATGAATGCTTTAACTATTTATTGACTGAATATTTGTCATTAGCATAAGCATTTTAAACTACAAATTTTTCTGCAGGCATTGTTTCACCTGCATTATATCAGTTCCAAACTGTAATAAAATAAATTTATTTTAATAGACAATAATATAATTTTATTTAGTGAAAAGCTTTATCATTATTTTCTCTTTTATTTTTATACTTTAAGTTCTAGGGTACATGTGCACAATGTGCAGGTTTGTTAAAAAAAAAAAAATAGAATAAATAATTCAGTTTAAAGAGTGAAGTAGTTTGGTAGCCAGACCTAAGTATATTATTTGACATATCAATCTCGAAATTCTAGATGTTTCATCAACTAATATGTTGTCAGTTGGCAAGAATATTGAGATAGTGGTTGTTTTCACAATAATTTTTTTTCTGAAATGAATAATGGTTCTATTTATTTCAGAATAAGTGACTTTCAGATATTTTTTCAGATATCTTTCTTTCAGATATAAAGTGACTATATGTATCAGAAGTGAAATTTGTTCTTTTGAAATTAATCAAGAACCAAGTATAATTCATAAAGCTGTCAGCTTTGAGGGAGTACCACAGCTGACGAAACTCTCCAGGAGGTCCTACCAGTTCTGCCACTTCGTGGTGGATCAGTGATGCATTGTGTCTGATCTGTGGTTAATCAGGGTGCTGAATTCAGGCTATTTAAGACCCTGGAACAGGCCTCCTGTGTTCTTGGAGAGGCCTTGATTGTGTTCTTGGAGAAAAGCTGTTACTTCCAGCAAGAACTTATTCTCTTTTTGAGGAACATTTTCTAGCTTTACTATTAGACCTTTATTGGTTAGAGTGCCTGACTATGGTGGTTTTAAAGCATGGCCGTAGGTTATTTGATATTCTTCTATTGAAAGGTGGTGTATATGTCCCTTCCACTTAAATCTGGGTGAGCTGTGACTGTGTTGACAAATAGAGATTAGTGGAAGTGATGGTATGTAATTTCCAAGACTAGGTCATAAAAGGTCATGCAGCTTCTCCTATGGGGCTGCAACACCTGCTCTTGGAGTTTTAGCCTACCACCTAATACATCCAGATTCACCCAGGGTCCATGCTTGAATAAGCCCAAATCACGTGGAGAGACTACACAAATCACTTTTGTTAAAGTCCCAGCTGCACCCCAGCCTTCAAGTCATCCCTGCCTAGGCACCAGACATGTGCATGAAGAAGCCTCTGGATGATTCTAGCTTTGAGCTGTTTGTGTATTCTTTGCTATTCAGACATTTTCAGCTGAGACTACAAGCATATGGAGAAAAAACAAAACAAAATGATTCAATATATCCAATATATCCAACATGAATGGTGTCCTTATAAGAAGAGACACCAGTGGTGCAAGTGTACAGAGGGATGGCCATGTGAAGAGGCAGCAAGAGGGCAGCCATCTGCAAGCCAAGGAGAGAGGCCTCAGAGGAATCCGCTCTGCCACTGCCTTGTTACTGGACTTTTAGCTTCCAGAACTGTGAGAAAATAAATTTCTGTTGTTTAAGCAAACAAATAAACAAAAAACTATCTGAAAAAAATAAAAAAGTTATCATTATTTTCTAGATAACCTAAAAGTTTTACTTGTATTTTATTTGTCTCAGGAGATTTTAAAAATAGTTTTTGAGTTTCCAGGGGAGAGGATCCTTTTGCTTTCTGATATTATTGCTAATTATATATTGATATTGATACAGGCAGGGAAGTGCTGGTTAGAGAAAGGTGGGGCCCTTGGCCAGGGTTTTGTCCTCAGGCCTGTGCCCACGGACCTAGGTGAGGATAGGCACTCCTGTTTTCATGCCCGAATGTTGCATTTTCCAAGACCACCCTGGCCCAACACATCCCCCATTCTGTGGTGCCTATAAAAACCCTGAGACCCTAGCAGGCCGACACACAAATGGCTGGACGTCGAGAGGAACACAGTGGCAGAGGAACACACCAACAGACTCTGGCAGGCCATCGATGGCAGAATGACACAGATGACGTGGAATTTGGCTGGAGCCCGTCAGAGGAGAGTCTCCAGGGCAAGATCACCTTCCTACTCCATCCCCCTGCTGGCTCCCCATCCATCTGCTGAGAGCTACCTCCACTCAGTAAAACCTTGCATTCATTCTTCAAGCCCATGTGTGATCTGTTTCTCTGGTACACCAACGCAAGAACCTAGAATACAGAAAGCCTTCTGTCCTTGTGATAAGGCAGAGGGTCTAAGTCTAACTGAGCTAATTAACACAAGCTGCTGTTGGAAAGCTAAGCTAAAAGGGAGCATTGTAACACATGCCCACTGGGGGTTCAGGAGCTGTAAACACTCAACCCTACATGCTGCCATGGGGTCAGTGCCCACACTCCCCACCATCTGCCCGTCATCATGTTCCCCAGTGGTTTGAGCATTGGGACACCAAAGAAGTGAGCCACACCCCCATCTCACACCCTGAAAAGGCAATAAGGGAACTTCTCCCATTTCAATATGTTCAGATGAGAAGATGCAGATTGTACCTGCAATTTTTTCTACATTATTGAATTACCTTTGTGCTTAATATACATTCTGTGTTCTGTGAAGTCATTTGCATTTTCTTTACCTATGTTGAATGTTATATGTGTATATAAATACACATAGACATATTTTTATTTATATATTTATATACATACACTTATACATACATATATGACCTAGTTTAAATAATGTATTATGGTATTTATTTCTTCTACATCAGTAGCTTTTTCTTATTTATCTTATTTTATCTAAGACTCTTGTAGCATTAGGTGAGTAAAGATCTCCGACTGCTAGCACTTTAAATCCCCTTCTCTTTGTATCTTCTTTAAGTACTGTTTTATGAATGTGCTTCTATGTGTTTGGTGCATACATATTAATAATAATTAAATTTACTTTTGAATGATACTCTTTAGCATTGTAAATTGTTCTTTCTTACTTTTTTAATGTTTTTTTTGACTGAAATTTACTTTCTTTGATTCTATGATCATGTTCTTTCTACCTGCCTTCCTTTCTTTCTTGCTATACATCTGTCCATCCTCTTATATTTAACTTCTGAATTTATCCGTTTTTTTTTTTTTTTGCATGTGGTATAGAGTGGGAGTTTGCTTGGTAATTCACTCTGAAATATTATGTTAATGGAGTGAATGACAGGTTTTTTCCTTTGTTTTGAATTATGTATTTTAAATAAGACTCCTAATGTATAATCTGTTTCCCTTTTCTCTCTCTGTGTGTTTATGCGTGTGTGTATGTGTGTGTGTGTGTGTGTGTGTGTGTGTGTGTGAAAGAGAGAGAGATTATGTTTCTTCTGATACTGCAAACGGTTACCATGTTTTGTTCTAAGTGAATTCTTTTATAATCATGTTTATACTAATACCTTAGTCCTCTATTAATTTAGAAAATATTTAATAGATACCATTTATGTGTACTAATTAATGTAACATTATCCTGGCAAATGTCAATTGCTACTTACAAAAAAGGCTAAATTCTAATTTTAATGCAACCAAGCCAGATTTCTTATTTGAGTTTTCTAACATGTATATATTTTTGGAAGTTCCAAATGAACTTAAATTCAATATATCAAAAACTAACTTCATAATCTTCTGTCCTTCTTGCATTTTTCCGGTTCTCTTATTTCAACACTCTTCACCATTTCTACCTACGTTTGGAAGGCTTAGACCTTAGAGCTTGCCACTTTCTTCCCCCAATCTCCATTGTTAATTCATTATTTGAGTATCTCACAAAGGCATCTCCGCTACTCAATTTCTACCATTATTACTCTGAGACAATCAAAAACTATTATTAGTATAACCTTTGTAGAAATATTCAAACTGATTTATTCACAAAAGCCCTGGTTTCATTCCAATATTTCCTTAGCACCTAATGTATTAATATTTTTGAAGCACAAATATTCAATTTTGAAATCTCCTGAATGACTTCCTTTCTTAGCTAAAGACACATTTTAAAATTGGCCTGTAAGGCTTTACACAGGCTGATCTTACATACTTCTATTTGGCAGGTTTCCTTCACTTAAGGAATAAATTTTTTAAAAAGTTTTGTATACAGTGCTATCTTCTCTACTGTTAAAAGACATTTATGTATTTTTTATTGCCTTTCTGTCTCCTTAAAGGTAAATCCTACACATTTATCAGATCTCATTTCAGTTGTCACTTTCTGAAGGAAGACTTCGTAGACTTCCCAGGTTAGATCAAACCATCTTATTCAAATCCTTATATTATCAAGTTCCTTTAATTGTATGCCATATTATAGTTGCTATTTTTGGCATGAATAATTACCATATTAATGCCTGTCTTCTTGACAATACATGTTTTCTGACTCCTTCTAGTCCTATGTAAACGTACTTAGAATGAAGAAATGTGACAATTCTCAAATGAATTTGATTATGAAACTGATTGGAGGAGGAATATCTTGAAGGACTAGTAATCTTACATATTGAGAATAGTGTAAGAAATAAAAAAGCTAGAATGAAACTTTGTATGAGGTTTATTCCTTTGTTGTCTAGATGACATACCTCATTCTTAGCAATGTTAAGTGACTCAGCCAAAGCTAGGAAAAAAAGGGCTGAGATTAGAATAAGTTCTCCATCTAGACTCTGAGTCTTATCTATTTAGTTTGTATGGTATTGTGTAACTTTAAAATCTACCATTCATTTGTAATTTTTGCATGTGAAACTTTTCATATATAATGGAACTCTCTTTCTGTTTGTTTTATAAATTGAATGGAAATAGGTGAGCTCTACCTGGTCAAATTCTTTTTTAAAAATTCAAAAGGAACAGCTGAGGAAATAAATGTATTACCAAAATTTGCATTATATGAAAAAAGCTTCATTTAAATGCACATCCATATAGAAATGCAAATGATCCTTGCAGAAATACAAGGAGCACATTTTTTTCTCTCTCTGAAGCCTGACTTCCATCCTAAATATCACCACTGCTTCATTCAAAGGGTAAAACAACACATTTTCTTGATTCATTTTTTTCATTTCACCATGATGGATGAGTCCTGGTCTGTGGAACATGTCAAGATGTCTTCAGAATTGAAGTCAGAAAACATGAAATGGATTCTTATGTAGCCCAGGTGACATAATGTTTTGTAGCATATGAGGGCACTCAGGATGGAGGAAATTTTCTTATTCTACAGCTATATAAATTTAAAATTCCTAAAACCAAGTATGTTTAATGAAATAGGGAGATTACCTTTTGCATTCTGAAATGGTGTTCAGTGGCCTATGTTGAAATCTCTCTTTTGATCAAGTAATGGGCAAAGATCTTTAGATAAGTGTACCCACTTGGCTGTGCTGACCTGTTTTAAGTTATGGAACCCAACAAGAGAATCATTTTTATAAATATCATTTGACTTGTGCAAAGTCCATTATGGATTTGGGAGCAGACAGGGTATCTGTAACATCCAAGGATACTAATCCTGAGTCTACATCCACTTTCAAAACCCTGTAATTTTTTCAAGAGGGGAAGAATAATTAGGTAAAAGGAATATTTTTCATCTATAATTAGATAAATATGTTAAAAATCACTTTTCCTGAGTTTTTGCTAATGATATTTTGATCTTTATGTGAATATGGAAATTGCCTCTAGTTTATATATGTCAGCAGGTAAATACCTTCTCTACTATATAGGATATAGGCAGGTGGAGGATATATGATCCATATTAATTAAGAATTTTCAGATTATAAAAATTATTTTAAAGCCAGGCTTTGAAAGCATGTGTTACACAATTTTAGAAAAACTACTAATATTGTCATTGGCATGAAAAAATGGGGTAGTATTCTCTGTCCTTATGGGATTGAAAACAAGAATGGTGAAATATGCCAATTAACTTATTTATAAAAATGTAATCTATGTTACATGGCTAAAATTCTTTCATGTGGATTCTGTAATTGCCTGAAAGAAGAAGATAACTTTGTGTTTCCTGCTGTCTGGGTTCATTTTGATTTCCCTCAAAAAGTCTGTATAAAATTTTCTTAAGTATATACTTGCATTAAACTAGATTTCAAAGTATACCTCTGTTAGTAAAGATGGTTTAAGCAGTACTCCTTACCTTTAATTTTCAGTGAGTCCAAACATTTTTCTGTGATTTGGTAATTTACAATAGATTTATGTAATCATGCTTTATTTAAATTAGTGTTACTTACGTATGAATTGCAATGAAATTCTTCTTAACGGTAGAAATTGTCCAAAAAGAGAAAAAAGAACACATTTTTGTTTGTTTTTGCTCAGCTGAAGTGGTACATATAATAGACCATATAAAGAACCACATCTTACTTCTATATGCTTATTCAGCAAACTTTGCTTGGTACTCTAGAAAATCCTTTCAATGCTTTCATTTATATGATTCAAAATTCCCCTATTGTTTTATGGCTATCTGCTTTAATTTGCTAATATTTACATCATAGTTGTCTAATTTATTCAACATGTCTCTATTTCAAATATAATTTGGTTTTTAAGAAACGTGAAATTAACCAGAATAATGAAATGGATATGTGCATAATTTCTAGGAATATGGCACATGCTTGTCAGTCCTTTCCCTTTTAGTTTTCAAAAATGGCAGTAGAATAAATGCCTCAAATGTTACTACATGCATTTGTCAATGGGAACATTCAAAATGATGCCCTCCTTGAACAGATTTAACAGACCTTTGCTTTGCAAACAGAATGTCAATAATTTTAGAGTTTATGACCTCCACCTTAGACATCTGCACAGATGAATATCTATAAAACATTATCTTTATAGAGTTGGGAATTACCAAATGGGGCCATTGGAAAGGACATCCATTTCATTTCAAATCTTTGCATAATTGGTATTTACATGCAACAGCTGAGACTGCAGAACAAAAATGAGTTAATCAGATGCCATTTCATGGTACATGTTAGAGAAAGTGCACCTGCCTTGCCATAGGCACCACTTCCTTGGGGAAAATAGCAATTTTGCCTAGCTAACATAAAAGATTCATAGCGTTCTCTGCAAAAAGTGTTGTTGTAGGAGGTGGTGATTCTAGCACTCAGAACATCTTAGATTTGGTCATAGCTCTGACATATATTATCTTCTGCACTTTTTTCTCTTCCATGAATATCATTTTATAACGGTTAAAACAGAAATAATGTTATATCGATTGCTTTCCTGTTAGGCATTTGTGATCATATTACTGGAAGCAAAGTCAGGGTGAGTCACATTTTTTATTGGCCATCTGAAGTAAAATATTCAACCAAAAATGGTGATTGGCTTAATTTATAATACAATAAGATAAATCCTAAATAAACTATATGTTTCTGAAATCTAGGTTGCAAAGGGTAAGGTCATATAAAGAAACATATATTAAATATATATTATAGGCATGTTTTAGAGAGCCAACAGGCTGTTTGAGTTATAAGTGTGGACTCAGGATCCAAACTGCCTGAATCAGAATCCTGCTGTGTCACTTAGTAGCTTTGTGATCTTGGGGAGGTCGTTAAACACTTTATGTCGCAGGTTCTTCATCTGTAAAACAAGGATAACAATGTCATCTACATTATAGAGTTATGAAAGTTTGTTAGATGAATATCAAACTGCCTGACATATGGTAAGTTCTCAACTATTATTAACATTAGTGTTATTACTATTTAGCTGCTCATTTATTAATGTGTAAGACACTTTACTCAGCAGTTTGGTGTGGTCCATCTCAATCTTCTTTGAGATTACAGCTGGTTTATTTAAAAATAGTCTATAGTGTGAAAATTTTGAACAAGAAAAGAAACCTATGATAATATAATCTAAGAAAATGAGGTTCTTACTTCCTAATCATTTCATTATTTCACTTCCTAATTATTTCATTCACTTAAATATGTTTGAAAGGTTATAGTGCAGTACACTATAGTCAAATAAACTCATTTGCTTATTTCAATTTCACTAGTGTAATCTCTTAGTTAAATTTTTAAACTTTCCTCTGAATTTTCACATTTGTTTATTAGATCTATTGTGGGGATTTAATAAGACATCTTATTTCTCTTGAAAACGTCCTTAGAATTTTTGTAAACTATGCACGTGACAAAGGTCTAATGTCCAGCATCTATACGGAACTTAAACAAATTTACAAGAAAGATAAACCACCCCGTTAAAAAGTGAGCAAAGGACATGAACGGACACTTTTGAAAAGAAGACATACATGCTGCCAACAAATATATGGAAAAAAGTTCAACATCAATGATTATTAGAGACATGCAATTCAGAACCACAAAGAGATACCATCTCACACCAGTCGGAAAGGCTATTATTAAAAAGTCAAAAAATAACAGTTGCTGGTAAAGTTGCAGAGAAAAAAGTACAATTATGCACTGTTGGTGGGTGTGTAAATTAGTTCAATCATTGTGGAAAACAGTGTGGTGATTCCTCAAAGACCTAAAAACAGAACTACCATTCAACCCAGAAATCCCATTATTTGGTATATACCCAAAATAATATGAGTCATTCTGTCATAAAGACACATGAACGCATGTGTTCACTGCAGTAGTATTGACAGGAGCAAAGAGATGGAATCAACCTAAATGCACATCAGTGGTAGACTGCATAAAGAAAATGTAGTACATATACAGCATGAAATTCTATGCAGCTATAAAAAAAAAGGCTGCATCCTTTGGAGAAACATGGATGGAGCTGGAGGCTGTTATCCTTAGCAAACTAATGGAGGAACAGAATACCAAATACCACATGTTCTCACTTATAAATGGGAGCCAAATGATGAAAACATAGAGGGAACAACAAATACTAGGACCCAACTGAGGGTGGAAGTTGGGAGGAGAGAGAGGATCAAGAAAAAAATAACTAGTAGGTACTAGGCTTAATACCTGGGTGATAAAATAATCTGTAAAACAACCCCCCATGACATGAGTTTACCTGTAAAACAAACCTGCACTTGTACCCACGAACTTAAAAGTTAAAAAAAAGAGAAAATGTCCTTAGAATATAAGATTTACTTTATAAACAAACAACAAAAATATCCATAACTAGGAGAAAAAGAGGAAGAAGGAAGAAGAGGAGGAGGAGAAAAAGAAGAATAATACTTAAAATTTAATGTGAAAATTGTTTAGGGGTCAAAAGTTTATTTTCTTGAAGATTTTAAACATTGAATCATAAATGTCCCTGGCATATAGTGGTTACTCAATATTGGCTGATTGATTAAAGAACTGAATAGATAAGAGAGATATCTGTGATATTAGAGAATAAAAGTATAACATAACTCTATGTAGATGAGGTTTTTCTGAATGTACTCTTATTCTCCAATGGCTTTCTGGCCACACATTAGAAAACTAGTTAAATAGAATATTGAAAAATGACCTATTCCTAATTAGCAATATTTTGAGAGTTTGTTTTGACTCAAGAAATACAATATTTTATCTTATTAGAAATACAAGCTTGCTTCCAGATAAAATGTGTGAATTGTTGAGTATTGTTACAATTCAAGTATGCATGTTCATTAATACTACTTCACTAAACTTTCTAATCAGTCATTCATAGGTTTTAATAATGGTGTTATTTTAAGGATAGATTAAAGCTAATTTTGAACCGTCATTTTATTTTGTTTTTATTCTTCAGTTTTGCATGTTGCCTTAGCCTGTTTTGTGCGGCTTTATTAGAATATCTGAGACTGAGTAATTTGTAATGAACAGAGATTTATTTCTTATAGTCCTGAAGGCCAGGAAGGCCAAGATCAGCTAGCCCATCTCTGGCAAGGGGTTTTGTGCTACATCATCCCATGGCAGAAGGCAGAAGAGAAAAGGAGCATAAAAGAGAAAAATAAATATAAAAATGGAGGCCAGATTCCAGCTATACCTGACTTTTGTAATAAGGGCATTAATGTATTCATAAGAATAGAGCCTTCATGATCAAATCACCTCTTAAAGGTTTTACCTCTTAACACTATTGCTTTGAGCATTATTTCCAGCACAAATTCTGGGCGACACTTGCAAGCCATAGCACAGATGAATAATCTACCTGCGTTGTCAAACTTGTTTGAATATGTTGTAATCATCTTGTTAAATATTGTTAAATATCTGTACCAACTCAATTATAAGTTTTTCCAATATGAATAATACCTTTTATTTTAACAAGTTTTTCATTGGAAAGGTGTAAAAAATGTGAAAAAAAATATACAGCTTAACTAATTATTGTAGAGTTGAAAATTATGTAATTCTAATCCAATACAAACAATAAAATTTTAACAATACTCATATTGGTAAGTGGGTTCATAATAAGTTTAATATCTTATCAGGTCATCTAATATTTTGCTTTCTTTAGCAGACTGATGGTGCAAGGAAAGCTAAACATATCAAAGTTGAAAGGGTAAACTTCTCTAAGAGTGGTTGTTGGTTAACTGGATAGCTATATAAAAAAACAACAATATAAGCATCAACAGAAAAGAAAAAAAAACCTTGAATTCTACCTCACACCAAACACAAAAATTAATTTAAGCAGGATCATTTACCTAAATATGAAAGATGAAACAAAAATGCTTCTAGAAAAAACTCTATAATTTAAGATAGGAAAAGATGTCTTCTACAAGATACAAAAAGTACTAATCATCTTTTAAAAGATTTATAAATTAGAATTCATTAAAATTAAGAAATTTTATTTATCAAACACTATTAATAGAGAAAAGACAATAAGACAAGGATATATGCTTTTTGTATCTAAAAAATTATAAATGAATATATAAAGAATGTTCAAATTAACTATAAAATAACAGAGAGCCCAGTTGTTTTTAAATGGGCAAAATAATAGGATTATTTGAAAATTTCAAAATTCCCAAATAAAGTAATAAAGTTGAATGCAGTTTACAGAAGATAATCATATAGTACACAGCAGGAAAAGGATCACCAGATGCATTATTTGAACAGTGTCAACTGTCTAGCTGATTTTTGCCCTAAGTAGCTCTATGCAATAAAAGTTGAGTTCATAATTCTGCCCAGTGAGGAAGAGGCAATTACTTAGATAAGACTGCATCACAGTGCAGGGAATGGCAGCAACTGCTTCTCTTTGGAGTGAAAGATTTTACAGTAATAAAACAAATTTAATGGGCCAGTTCACTCTTTTTCAATCATGCTGTTAAAGTTTACTATTGAAATACTTGCTGTCTTGGGAATTACCATCACTTCAGTTTATTTGCAGCCTCTGTCCTAAAAAAAAAAACAGCAGGACTATTTATTTTCTCCTCAGAAAGATGAAATTGCAACAGCACAGTGAATCTCACATAACAAAAGCACTTGTACTTTAAAAAATGTCTTAAGACTTCCTACTACAAATAACAGATTTAAAGCAGATTTAAGACGTGACTAACTTTATTTAATCCACCATAAGGGATCCTAAATGTAAAGAATGAGACTTTGTAAGAAACAAACTGCAAATTAATCTCTAGCATCACAGAAATATTCCCCATTCACTGCCTTTTATGACTTTCAATTCATTGATAATCAAAAACATCAGTTATTCTCTAATTGTATGGAAAATAACTGGTTGTCTATAAAAAGAACAGAACTTTCCAATAATAGCTTTAAACTTTCAAATTATCATTCTTTTCCAAAATTCATAAACAAGAAAGAGTCACTAGCTGTTACTGACATCTTTTAATAAACATGGAACTTGAAAAAAATAATTCACAGAGGGATTCTTTCCTTTATGTTCCTATCTCCTTTGTTCTCTTTCCCATGAATTCCCCTCTTTTTATTAAATTCCTAACTTCATAACTAAAACCTATAGTTGAAATTGACTTGAACCTAATAGAAAATTGAGCAAAATACTTGGCAGGCACTTTCAAAATTAGGATTCTAAATGGTTAATTCGTGTGTGAAAAGATACTCAATTTGTGTTTTTACTATTCATCTTTAATAATTGTGTCAACAACATATACATTATTATTTATAAGTGAGAGATTATTCACATAAAGATAACTGTGTTCCCTTTTCCCAGTGCTCACCCTGGGGTGTTACGATGAAAGCCAGATGAGAACGTTTTCTACATGAGTGACCAGAATTTCCATGAGAGAGGGATGGAACAAAAGGGATTGCCTCTGCTTATATATAGGAAAAAATGGCTGTTGACCTTCCTCTTCTTAAAAAGAGACAAAATTTTCACCCCTTGGAGACAGAATGGGAAGGATTCCAGGATTTCACTCTAAACTCTTAGAATGTACATGCTTCTCTCTGAGGGCCAGGTAAACTCTGATGTGTATATAGATTTTAGGATATAAAGTTATCTATCTGTACCATAGTAACACAGATAAAACATTGAACTAGACAGTCAGGGCTGCTGATATATCTTGTGTTATGGACTGAATTTTGTCTTTTTGCCCCATCCTTCCACCAAATTTCTATGTTGAAATCCTAACCCCCAGGACCTCAGGATGTGGCCATATTTGGAGACAGGATCTTTAAAGAAGTAATTAAATTAAAATGACATCATTAAGGTGACCCAAATTCAACATGACAGTCTTTATAAAAAGAGAATATTTGGACCCTGAGACATACAGAGGAAAAATGATGTGAAGATAGGGAGAACATGGTCATTGTGTTAGGCTGTTTTTACATTGCTATAAAGGAACTATCTGAGACTAGGTAATTCATAAAGAAAAGACGTTTAATTGGATCACAGTTCTGCAGGCTGTCAAGCATGGCACAAACAAATGCTGCTGTTGAGGACCTTAGTACACTTCTACTCAGGGTATAAGACTAAGGGGTAGCCAGCACATCACATGGTGAGAGCAGGAGTGAGACACAGAGGTGGGAGGTGTCATGCTCTTTCAAACAACCAGTTCTGGTAAACTCAGATGGGGTACTCACTCATTATCTCGAGGAGAGCACCAAGCCACTCATGAGGGATCTGCCCCCCCATGATCAAATTTCTCCCTCTAGGCCCCACCTCCAATATTGGGGATCAAATTTCAAAATGACATTTGAAGGGCACAAATACGCCAACTATTTGAGTCATCTCTAAGCCAAGAGACAGGCCTGGAATAGCTCTTTCCCTCATGACTGTTAGAAGGAACCAAACTCCTGACAACTTGGACTTCTGACCTCCAAAACTGAGAGAAAATAATTGTTTGTTTGTTTAAGACACCCAGTCTGTGATAATTTGTAATGGCAGCCTACTCAACTAATACCAAGGATAATACAGTCACAGTTTTAATAAGTTCTGTGAAGAAAGTGGACAGAATGCCAATGAATAAATAACCTAGGTTAAGTTAACCTGACCTGGATAGAACAGCTAAAAGTTCCTAAAGAATTGGCACTTCATCCAAGACGTGATAAAGGTGATGTGACAGAGAGCCCAGAGAAGAGCTCTCTGGGCAAAGGTAACATTAGCTTGGGTCAATGAAGAGCCTGGCTCTAGAGAAGGTCAGTGCTGCAGGATCGGGGTGGTGGTGAGGGCAGAGGAAGCTCTCCATGTAACACAAAGTGCAGTGAGGAGTGAGAACCACAGTGTAGAATGAAAGGAGGAGAAGCGGAGGCACTGGGTCTTGGTGACAACCATTATAAAAAGTTTGGTTGAGAAAGATGAGTTGTAAGAGAAGAGAGAGAGCTTAAGTCATGCCAGCATGTAAGTACATCTGTTTCTGTTGATACAAATATGTACCAATTAAACACACTTCTAAGTAACTAGGGAGACAAAGAATAAATCCCAAGGAAATTAGACATGCTATAATAAATGAAAATAAAAATACAGCATACAAAAAGTATAGGATGTAGCTAAAACAGTGCTATATGAGAACTTTATAATACCTTATAACACTAGAAAAAGAATTAAACCTAAAGCAAGCACTAGGAAGAAAATAATGAAGATTACAGCAGAAATAAAGGACACTAGTCATAAAGAAAATCAACAAAACCAAAGCTGATGCTTTGATCTACAAAGCTGACAAATTTTAAGTTACTTGGCCTGGAAAACAGAGTGAAGCCATCAAATCACAAAAAATCTAGAATGAAAAACGAGAAAATTAACACTAAACATACACAAATATAAAGAATTACAAGGCAGAACCTTAACAATTCAATCCCAACTAATTATTTAAATGATAAAATACATAAATATTGGCCAGGCATAGTCGCTCATGCCTGTAATCCCAGCACTTTGGGAGGCTGAGGCAGGTGGATCACCTGAGGTCAGGAGTTTGAGACCCATCTGACCAACATGGTGAAACCCCATCTCTACTAAAAAAAAATACAAAAACGAGCCAGGCATGGTGGTAGGCACCTGTAATCCCAACTACTCGGGAGGCTGACGCAGGTAGAATTGTTTGAACCTGGGAAGCAGAGGTTGCAGTGAGCTGAGATCATGCCACTGCACTCCAGCCTGGGCAACAGAGCCAGACCCATCTCAAAAAAAAAAAAAACAAAAAAAGGATAAATATTTTGAAAAGTCACAGACTACAAAGCTGACTTCAGTAAAAATTTTTAAAAATCTGAATATAGATCTATGAATTAGTTTTCTGTAACTACTATAGCAAAATACTAGAGAATAGATTTTAAGTGTTCTGACCAAACACACACATACACAGACACACACAAAGTATGTGATGTAAGTAGATATGTTAATTAGCTTGATTTAGCCATTCCACAATGCGTATATATTTGTGATATATATATGTGTGTGTGTATATATATATTTCAAAACATCATGTTACACCATAAATATGTACACTTTATTATTATAAAAATGGTGAAAAGAAAAAATAAAAACAAAGTGTCACGAACGTGGTGGCTTAAAACAACAGAAATTTATGTTCTTAGAGTTCTGGATGCCACTAATCCAAAATCAGTATCGCTGAGCCAAAACAAAGGTGTTAGCAGGGCTTCATATTCTCTAAAGGCTTTAGATGAGAATCATTCCTTGTCTCCTCCAGGTGCTTGTGGATGTCAGCTTTCCTTGGCTTGTGGCTACATTATGCTGATTTTTCTAGGCCAACATCTTTAAATCACTTGGTTCTATTTTCTTACAGCCTTCTCTTGTGTGAGTATGCAGTCCCCTCTTTATCTGTGTCAAATCTCTCTTACCCCTTATCTTAGTAGGACACTTGTGCTCTCAATTAGGGCTCTCAATTAGGGCCCATCTGAATAACCAGGATAATCTACTCATCTCAAGATCTTTCATTTAATCACATCTGCAAAGACATCACCATATAATTTGCCTAAACTGTGTTCAAGTGGATTCCCCTGTATTCCACATCATAAAGTACACCTATACCAAGTATTACATTAAATTAAAAACTTAAAATCATGGAAGAAAAGCCTAGGTGCCAGTGAAGCTGATGAATTTTACAAAGTGATTAAAGAAGAATTAACACCAGTCCTTCAAAACACTTAAAAAAATTAGAAATTCACTTTCCAAATCATTCTATGAGGCCAGAAATACCCTGATACAACCAAAGACATCACATAAAATAACAAATTATATTTTCTTAACATTAACATGATAACCCTCAACAAAATATTTAAAAACTGAATTTAGGAACATATAGAGAATTATAAAACATGATTTATTGGGATCAGTGTAAGACATTAATAGAATAAAGGATAAAAAAATTGTTGTCTCAATAGAAACAGAAAATACACTTGATAAAATCCAATGCACATTCATGATAAAATCACACAATAACCTATGATTAGAAGAGAACTCTCTGAATCTGATAAAGCATTGGATTATATACTCATACTTATTTATATAATACTTAATGAAAGACTAAATGTTTTTCCCCTGTGATAACAAACAGAACAAGAATGTGTGCTCTCACCACTTCCATTCAACATGGTACTGGAAGTTCTAGCCAGGATAAGTAGACAAGGATAAGAAATAAAAGCCATTTAGATTTGAAGACAAGAAAAGCTCTCTCTATTGGCAGGTGAAATAATCTCATATATAGAAAATCATGAGGAATCCATACATACACATACATGCAAAACTATTTGAACTAATATACAAGTTTATCAACTTTGCAGAATACCAGATTAACATACAAATGTATTTCATTTCTATACAATGGCAAAATCAAAAAATAAATTTCAAAAACAATTCCATTTACAATAGCATGAAAATAAAGAAAACAATACATTTAAAAAAAGCTTAAGATTTGTACATTAACAATTACACAACATTGTTGACAGAAATTACAGAAGGCCTAAAGAATTGAAAACTGACATCCCACACTAATGAATTGGAAGGCAAAACTTAAAATATCAATAATCTATAATGATCTACTAAATCAATACAATTGCTCTGAAACCTCAGCTACTTTTTTCTATAAAATCACAACTGACTGTTCAATTTATATGAAAATGCAAAGAAACCAGATTAGCCAATACAACTTGAAAAGAACAACAAAGTTTGGGCTCACTCTTCCAGATTTCTATTATTTACCACAAAGTTTCAGTAGTCAGTACAATATGGTATTGCATATGGATAAACTTGTAGATAAATTGGATGTAATAAAAGTTGAAAATAAATTCCTTTTTATGGTCAACTGATTTTAGAGAAGGTTACCAAGATAAATAGGGAAACAGTATTTATAACAAATCTTACTGAGACAAAAGTATATTAACATGAAAAACAATGATAGTTGAGCCCTACCTGACAACATATACAAAAATCAAATCAAGATGATTATAGACCTAAATATTAAAGCTAAAATTATAAAATTCTTATAAGAAAATATGGGAGCAAGAGTTCTGTAAATAATGTTTCTTGGATATGAAGCAAGATAAGAAAGCAAAATGAGAAAGAGTTCATTGATTTGACTTCATCGAATTAAAAACTTTTGTGCTTCAAAGGACATCATTCAGATAGGGAAACTCAACACATATAATCATAGCAACATTTGAAATTTATATACCTGATAAGAGACTTGTACCTAGAAAATATAAATACCACTTATAACTCACTAGTAAAAATGTGAATAACTTAGTTAAAAGGTGAAAATTATTTTAATGAACAATTCTCTAAAAAAAAATACATTGGTCAATAAGCACATGAGAAGATGCTCAACACTGTTAGTCATTAGACAAATTCAAATCAAATCCTTGATGCGATATTACTTTGTACCCAGTAGGAGGGCTCACATAAAAAAATAGAAACACAATTACAAGTGTTGCCAAGAATTTGGAGAAATCAGAATTATTCTAAAATATTGGTGGATTTGTAAAATGGTGCAGACCCTTTGAAAAACAGTTTGAAAGTTTCAAAAAATGACATATATAGCATATACTCAAGATAATTAAAAACATATGTCCACATTAAAACATGTCATTTTTCTAGCATCATTCTTCATATTAGCAAAAATTCAGATATGACCCAAAAGTTGAACAACTGGCTAACACATAAACTATAACACATAAATTATGACTATGTAGCATAGTCATAATATGGAATAGTATTTGGCAATAAAGAGGAATGAAGTATAGATACATGCGGTAGCATAAATGAAGCTTAAAAACATTATAACAAATTTTAAAAAGCCAGACACCTTTAAAAGGCCACATATTAAATAAATCAATTTGTGTAAAATCTGCAGAACAGGCAAATGCACAGAGACAGCAGGTAGATTTGTGTATCCCAGGGCCTTGGGAAGAAAGAAGAGTGAGTTGTTTCCTTTTTAGAGTGATAAACTGTTCTAAAATTAGATAGTCATGATAATTGTACAACTGTATGAATATACTAAAAACTACTGAATTGTACAAATTTGAAAGTAAATTTTATGGTTTGTATATTATATCACAATAAATCCGTTACTTGAAAAATGATTGATTTGTGTGCTGGGTATGATCTTGAGAACTTGGTATTTATAAATAAGTTTATTTAGGAAATGACTTTATTAGCTACTTTTCACACTGCTATGAAGGATACTACCTGAGACTGGGTAATTATAAAGGAAAGCGGTTTAATTGACTCCCAGTTCCATAGGCTTAACAGGAAACATGGCTAGGAAAGCCTCAGGAAACTTACCATCATAGGAGAGGGAAAGCAGGCACCTTCTTCACAAGGTGGCAAGGAAGAAAATTAATGCAAACATGGGAAAAATTGCCACTTTTAAAACCATCAGGTCTTGTGAGACTCACTCACTACCACCAGAACAGCATGGGTAAAACCACCCCCGTGATCCAATCACCTCCCATCTGGTCCCTCCCTCTACACCTGGGAATTATGAGGATTACAATTCAAGATGTGGGGACACAGAGCCAAACCATATCAATGACAGTCATCTGTATGACTATATATCCTCGTGTTAATGGATTAATGACTAGGTGTGAGATTTGTGATGATCTTTATGAATTTTTAATGCTTATTTGATTCACACCCATTGTATGTTTTCAAATGTCTTTATAACTTTATATAATCAAATTTTTAAAATTTGACATTTGTAACAAAAATGAAGTTAAGAAAATATCAACAAGTTATAGGCGAGCTAAAATGTGATTAGAAAACTAGTTAACATAAACAGTAACATGATATAGTAAAACTGAAAAGCAATGCTACAACAGAACGGCTGTTTTCTTTGCCAAGAAATTTTAGCCATCTTAGTTTGCATCTTTGAAACTAATGTTAAATGTCTCAACCCATATTTCTAATTGGGGAAGATTAGCAAACTAATAAATGCAGTGGCAGATATTTATCATAAAATCACCAAGCAGTAGTTAAATCTTCTTCCTTCTGGGATCATTAACTACAGCTTAATTAGTTCTGCTTTAAAATCAGCTTGTACTTTTAACTCAACTACATAATAAAGTATACAAAAGTCATATAAATATAGTGAAATTAATTTTCTACAATGAAAGTGCAATAATTTAATAATCAGAAAATATTACTTCACATTATTACAGACATGATTTTCTATAATCTGAGAGAAAATTTAAAGATAATTTATATTCATTGAAAGCACTGAAAGGAAATAGGACAAGATAGTCTTAAGGGAAATACTTTTATGAATTTAGAAGAGCATATAAATTATAAGCACACAGGACAGTTACATTTTGTAAAATGGCATTGCCTATGAAACTATTATTTAACTGGAGTAGAATTCTTATATGATGTGGCCAGGGTATCAACATCAATTTTGTGTACCTGGGTATGTTCCAAGCGGGACTGCTGGATCATATGGTAGTTCTATTTTAAGTTTTTTTTGAGGTACTTCCATACTGCTTTCCATAAGGTTTGTACCAATTTATATTTCCACCAACAGTGCACAACCTTTTTCTCCAATTCTTGCCAACACTTTTTATCTCTTCTCTTTTTCATAATGGTCACAACCATGGTTATAATCCTGCAGTAGTCCTTATAAGTTCTGAAATATGTTCTTTTCTCTTTAGCGAAGTAGAATTTCTGAATATTCTGATTTGCTTATTGGAATAAGTAGGAAGGTTTTTTTAACCTCCTAAATTAAGTGGCTTCAGATTTTGCCTTGAAGAGAAAACTAGCAGTGTGTCTCACTCAGTTCACTGCTTTTTACTAGTTATGTTGGTGCGAAAGTAACTGCGGTTTTTGCCATTGCTTTTAGTGGCAAAAACCGTAATAACTTTTGCAACAACCTAATATTATCTTGTCTTTGAAGTCTCTAATTTTTTCTGTCTAATCCCTTGAGACCAACAGAAGTTCTGCTTGTTTTTTCTGTATTCTTCAACTGCATCTCTGTGAACTAGCAAATTCTGAATTCAAACCTACTTACCCTGTGCCCAGAATGTTGGTTGTTGACTGACAGCTAACATCTCTGTATTTTCCCCTCTCTCAAATGTTGTAACTCCTAGTACAGTTTCTTTAGCATCTCCCTGGCATGACTTAAAGAAACAAAATTAGAAATAAAAAGCAAAAACGAAAAAATCCAACTGAGAAACATAACAGTTTTTCTTTTTCTTTTTTTTTTTTTTATTATACTTTAGGTTTTAGGGTACATGTGCACATTGTGCAGGTTAGTTACATATGTATACATGTGCCATGCTGGTGCACTGCACCCACTAAATCGTCATCTAGCATTAGGTATATCTCCCAATGCTATCCCTCACCCCTCCCCCCACCCCACCACAGTCCCCACAGTGTGATATTCCCCTTCCTGTGTCCATGTGATCTCATTGCTCAATTCCCACCTATGAGTGAGAATATGCGGTGTTTGGTTTTTTGTTCTTGCGATAGTTTACTGAGAATGATGATTTCCAATTTCATCCATGTCCCTACAAAGGACACGAACTCATCATTTTTTATGGCTGCATAGTATTCCATGGTGTATATGTGCCACATTTTCTTAATCCAGTCTATCATTGTCTTGGATTTTGCCCAGATATATAGTTGTTTTCTTCACTATTAATACCAACGGACTTGACACCATTTACATAGTGTCTGACAACACTCCACCATACTCATAAGCAAAAGTTAACACTGACATCTTTTTAATTTTATTTTAAGGAAAATAACTTCTCAGCCAAGTGCAGTGGCTCATGCCTGTAATCTCAACATTTTGGGAGGCTGAGGTGGGTGGATTACCTGAGGTCAGGAGTTCTAGATCATTCTGGCCAACATGATGAAACCCCATCTCTACTAAAATTACAAAAATTAGCTGAGCGCAGTTGCACGTACCTGTAGTCCCAGCTAGTCAGGAGGCTGAGGCAGGAGAATCACTTTAACCCATGAGGCTGAGCTTGCAGTAAGCCGAGATCGTGCCACTGCACCTAAGCCTGGGCGACAAAGCAAGACTCTGACTCAAAAAAATAAAAATAAAAAAACCCTCCTATACTAAATTTGTTCTATAATCATTATAATTTTCATATAAAATAAAGGTAAGGAAGGGGGAGAAAGGCAAATTAAGTAAAGATTTATTTGCTCTTGAGTTTATTCTGACCTCTGAATGTGGAATTGCCTGAGAGTTAAAATGTATGAGTCAATATTTACTCATTTAATTCATATTAATTGAACACATTTGTAGTTAGGTAAAAAGTCATAGACCTGGAACTTACAGAGTTAATTTGTCTAGTGCAAGGTAACATTATATTACAATTATATCACGCAGCATCATGTTATGTTCATCATATTATATAAATGTATGTCATAGAATAGAAATCTAGGGAAATCAACTGAGATAACTAGGGCTGATGATTTAATGTCCCTTTATATAAATGTGTATTTTATTTATATTATAATCATGTATTTGTCCTTCAAACTAGTGGTTCTGGTTGCTATTATTATGCACCATATCTGTGACTGTGATAAAATACACAGTGACCAGCTGCCCCTTCTGTTCTGACATCCTTGTGAGCTATTTGACAAATTATTACTTTGGACTCTGCCAATAGAGATTTTCTCTGTCCTCAGGAAGGCTGCTACTTACCCTTGCGGCAAACCATGTTTTTCTTCAAATTGAGTCATTCTTCTGCCGTTTGTTTTCTTCTATCTTAGCCTCCTGCTGCTTCTCCCTGCCATTGACATAGATGGCACATTGCTTCAATTATGCTTTGTGCATCTTTGAATTAGTCTTGCCTGCTTTTTGTACAATTTCCCTTTTTTCAGGTCACTCTACTATCTCAGATTTAACATGTAGGTAAAATTCTTTAGGGAGTGAAAAGCCCAGTATGGGAGAGTCATGGGGAATGTGGGTTTTCCCTCTACAGTGAATTCCTGAAGACTTTGTTCTTCTATTTTCAAATGTAGCTCCTGTGAGAGGAAAATGAAACCTTTCCTCAGAATAGGTGAAGAGAAGCGTTGGGTCACAAAAGAAACATTTCCAAATAAATAAATTATACATGCTTTTAATAATCTGAGTAAAATATTAGCAACTCTGATCATAACCATGACTTCCCCAAGGAAATGTCAAAGTAACTATCGTTTTTCATGTGCTCACTGAGCACCCACAAAGCATGATCCCATCCAAGGGTTATCTACTTCATCCTGTCCAATGGATCAAATTCTCATTATGACAGCTTAAATAATAGCAGACAAAAAAAGAAATCATATTTATTGACACAGTTCCCTGAAAATGGTGATGCTTTCAGAATTTGAACAGAAAGATAAGATTTATCTAGCATAGAGGCCTGTGTGCAAAGTGATACAAACAGGGAAGGAGTACAGTATACTCGAGGCACTGGAAAGAAGGAAAAGAAAAACTGTATTTTAATATTTTAATACAAGAAGGTCTCTATCAGTCAATTTCTTAATTTCTTTTATATATATATTTTTATCATACTTCAGGTTCTAGGGTACATGTGCACAACGTGCAGGTTTGTTACATATGTGTACATGTGCCATGTTGATTTCTTTTTTTTTTTTTTTTGAGACCGGGTCTCATTCTGTCACCCAAGCTAGGAGGTTGAGGTGTGGTGGCATGATCTTGGCTCCCTTCAACCTCCACAGCCTGGGCTTGAGAGATTCCCCCCACCTCAGCCTTCCTAGTAACTGCCACCATGCCTATTTTTGTATTTTTTAGTAGTCATGTGTTTTCGCCACGTTGCCAGGCTGGTCTCTGTCACTTGAGCTCAAGGGATGCAGTTGCCTTGGCCTCCCAAAGTGCTGAGATTACAGGAATGAGACACTGTGCCCAGCTTCTATTGGTCAATTTCTATGTTTCAGCCTTTCCCTTTGCCCCCATTATGTTCTACAAATGCTGGACTCCTGCTGTAGATGTGGAAATGAGACATTTTCTAATTATTCCATTTTCTTTCTTATCTCAATGCCCTTTGTTTCTGTTTTTGTTTGTTTTTCTTTTTTGTTGTTGTTTCTCTTCTGCGTTTTCTTTGCCATATTTAGTTGTCAGTGTTTTACAATAAAGAAGAGGCATATTAAATCCTCTTTGTGTGGAAAGAAATGTAATAGATTCTCTAGTCTGTCACACTTCATATATTATTATGCCATCAAAAACCTGTAAGCATGATAATAAAATAAAAACCCAAGGCAACAGTAGCTGCCAGTGGGTTTTACAGATTAATCACTATATGCCGTAAATAATATGGATTTCAATGGACTCTGAAGAAGATTTTTTGAGTTAAAGCATATGGGCTACAGAAGCTTCTTAAAATATTTAGGAATTAGGATAGCCACTTGTGACATTACTGAAGTAGGGTGAAAAGTGAGGCAGAAACATCATATGGCCCTCAATTTCCACTTTAGCCCCTTTCTTTAGTTATACCCATCACTTTGACTTTAGCATTTATAGGAAGTTTTAGGTAATATAAGTTAGTAATTTAAAAGCTGTCCTTCAGAAATGTATTAGTTGGCATACCACTCCCTTGAAACACTCCTAAAAAAAAAAAATGGAAATGTAAACATTTTAGAAATTCTGCATGAAATGGTCTCCACCTGAAAATAAATTAACATGTTCTAATATATCCTATTACCTCTAGTGAATATTTTTGCTTAACTCTCCAATCAGTATTTCCAAATTTATTTGACCCCAAAAATTATTTATTTTGTTCCGTAACACTCCTTAACACTCTTGTATTTTATCTCAGATGTTTTCTTCTAACATAACATTTCTTAACATCTCAAGGAATTGGGGTTCTGCCAAACACCTTAAAGTAATTGTTGTGCCAAAACAGATACATGAATGACTGATTAAAACAGTGCTCATTAACTCTTATCTCTCTAGTTTCTCTTTTATACTATTTTCAGAGTTGCTTTCTAAAACATATTTTGGCTGGGTGCAGTGACTCCCAGCACTTTGAGAGGCCAAGGCCAAAGGGTCACTTGGGGCCAGGAGTTCAAGGTCAGCCTAGGTAAAATAGCAAGTGCCCATCTCTCCAATTTTTTTTTAATTTTTTTTTTAATTTTTAAATAATTAACTGGGCGAGGCTGAGGTAGGAAGATCACTTGAGCCCAAGAATTCAAGGCTGCAGTGAGCTATGATCATGATCATGCCACTACACTCCAGCCTGGGTGATAGAGGGAGAACTTGTCTCTAAAAAATAAATAAATAAAAATAAAATTAAATAAAACATATTATAATCTTCTGGAAAAAAGTCAAAAGGACACATTTTGTCTATGTATAAATATATGTATATTTTATTAAATATTTATATATGTGATAATAGTTGCTATGTTCTATATTCAATATGCATTTTCATATTTTTTTTTGAGATGGAGTTTCACTCTTGTTGCTCAGGCTGGAACGCAGTGGCGTGATCTCAGCTCACTGCAACCTTCACCTCCAGGTTCAAGCGATTCTCCTGTCTTAGCCTCACGTGTAGCTGGGATAACAAGCTCCTGCCACCACGTCCCGCTAATTTTTGTATTTTTAGTAGAGACAGGGTTTCACCATGTTGGCCAGGCTGGGCTGGAACTCCTGACTTCAGGTGATCCGCCTGCCTCTGCCTCCCAAAGTGTTGAGATTACAGGCTTAAGCTACTGTGCCCGGCTGCATTTTTATACTTTGCATTCTTAAATTTCCCTTACTTTCAATCAGAATGAATCATTTCTTCAAAGCAGTATCCAAGTTGCATCTTATCCTCCTAAGCTATGCTATTTTAATCTTTCTAATATCATCCCATTTTTTTCTCCAGTCAAAATCATATTCATCTGTCATATATTTACATGTTAATACTGTATTTGACTTAAATTTAACATCCTCTATAAGTTTTGTAGGAAAGTAAATTATGCACTTAGTTTTCTTATGTGTTCCCAGAGGTCATGTGTTGTATCTCAACTACAAAATGTATTTAAATCCAAGTTGTACTATAATTGAATTATAACATTTATGTGTCTCTCAAATTTTAATGCAGTGTTTTAATCATGCAATGACTCAAATGCTGAAAGTTGATATTTTCAACAAACTTTCCTCGTTATTTTTCCTTTGGGTGTTTTTGTTGTCAATATCTAAAGCACATGTTGGAATACTTTATTTCTTTTATATGAATATTTAAAGGCAAAATTCAAGTCAGCAACATTAATTAATATCATTTAGTGCCTGAAACAGGGCCAGGCAAATACCAGGCTTAATAAATACTTTTCAGGTGGAAAGGATTCAAGCATCTGTTTTTCCAAGTTGTTGATATTTGTTCCACTTGATAACCTTTCCTTTTTAGCTCTTCGGTTTTTTTTTAAGTTATTATATCTGTTGAAACATTTCCACGGGAATCTTTAGAAGACTTTTACAGATGCACTATTAGCAGGCTGGACTACACAGGGAGTCTAGGAGTCCAGCTTCATTCAATAGTATTTGAGTAACTAAACTTGATAGAGCAGCAAGGGAACAGATGCATTTTTACTAGAAGTGAAGACTTGTGTTCTTGTAGAATTCCGATATATAAGAATGCCACTTGTTGGCCCATAAGAAAATAGAAAATTATGCTCTGTGTATGTCTAGCTAAGCTAAATATGTTTACAAAAATAACTTTTCTGTCACATTCCATTATATGGGTGAACAGTCAAACAGGTAGGAAGAGAATAAAATGCTCACATATTTTAGAATTTTATACTCAAGATCTCTTCCCTCACACACACAAAATGAAAATATAAGATGAATAATTGAAAAATTTAAGGAACTTCTGGGCATATTTTTCATTGCTATATTTATTTCTCACATATTACCAGTTTTTATGTTTACTTAGTTCCAGATTCCATGAAGTAGGACTGCTTCAGTTTGTATTATCAGAGCTCTTTTACATTTAGAGTTGTTCATTTTCTAGTATGAGCACATTGCGGATCCATTTTGCATATGGAGTCTGAATTATTTAGAGACCACCAGTGACTTTCATTTTTCTTTGAACTTAGAAAATCATTTTCTGCCCTGTTATGGAGAAACATATCAAAATATTTGTTGACTTTTCTGTGCTATCCTGAGCACTTCATTTTTTTCCTGGAAAAAAAAAGAGAGACAGTATTGTGAATATTATACCATCCAAAATAGTTTAGAGTCAAGTTAAATGCATATTAATTTCTTCTATATCTTGGGTTTTCATTTTATGCCATGTGTGGTGGAGAGCTGTGTAACGAAGTTGGTTGAGAGGGTCTTTGCCTTTCAAAATGCCAAGTATAGAATTCTTCTCTACATGCTATAGCTACTATGTAGTGGTGCATTTCTCTAGTTTTCAGATATTGAAATAATATGCAACCATCCTGAAAGGTGATGCTTTTTTTAGTTTTCATGTTTTGGTTGGCAAATGAGTTACTATTATTCTACATGATTGAAAGTTCTAGAAAGTCATTTTAAAATTGACAAGTATATGTGTTTATATAAAGAGACACCTTCATAAAGTCCATTGAATATTTTCTGGCTCAGAATCAGGGATGGGGAGTCTCGACAAGAATTCCTGTTTAATTAGCAGTGCTCAGTCAATACCCACCAAATATACCACCTCATCTTCTTTATTTCTGGCTTACTCTTTTTTTCAATAACCTACATTCTTTTCCCCCTCCATCCTAGTTTGGGGGGCGGGGGGCGGTACTTGTCCATTATATGTTTGCATGGAGATACATAATATGCTTTCCTCTTTTTAAATATTTTTCCTGTTTCTGTGTTATCATCTCTCAGGGAGTCAAAAGTAACTACCATGTGAAATACCACTAATTACTATAGAAATAGGGAAAGACAGAAAAAAAATGTGCATTAACTCTTCAAGGCTATACTCCAGTGATTTTATATGTCATTTATGTTCATCTTTCATTAGCTATAAGAGTGAAATGCAATTTTAGTTTATATCAAGGAGGAAGAGAAATAGAAATGCTATAGATCAGTACTAAAGACTACCACAAGGCATTAGTTTAATCCAGTTGCAGTTTCCAATTTATTTTAAATTTTTAATGAGAGGAGATTAAGTTAAAAATTTTAATTCTAAAGCCTCAATCTAACAAAAATGTTATAAAAAACCCAGAGCCATAATTCAGCTTACTACAAAAAATAACTCATGTCCTATGTGATATCCAATAATTGTCACAATAATGTGACTTCAGATGGCAGGAAGGAATGTGCATGTACCACACCATCTAAGAGCTAGGGGGCATTTTAGAGTGAATTGGATGAATTATCTGTCTTATCTCTTACTTTGAGGTGCTATGAATTATTCACTCTAGCACAATTGGACTCTGAAAATGTAAACCATTTTTGCTTCTTATTGGCAGAGTTAAAATTAGATTTCCCATTTTTCAAGGAATAATTTGCCTACAGTTAATACGTACTCAGTACAGTAGGCAAAATTCCAGAAAGGATTTAAAATGCATGGGTGTCTGCTTTGTGTTTGTGTAGTTCAGATGTTACCCATAGACTCAGAAAGAGTTTAAATGGGATTTAGGTTCTCCTTCTCTGGCTCTCTTCTTTCTAAAATTTAGCCCCTTAACTTCCAGTAGATGTGGGCATGGATTCCCTGGACATTTTCCTATGATATTTCTTTTAAGCTAGCAAGTGTGTTTTTATATAGAATTTCAGTCATCTGCAGAGTGTAGACCATCATTCCATAGGGTGAGAAGCCATAAGAAATAGGGTATTGATCTTATAATGTTTCCTTCTTTAAAGTGTTAAATTCCCTCTGCTATCTGCCCACATTCCTAAATTATCCAGAAACTCTGCATGGGAATTAGTCTGATAGGGGCTACACAGGCCTACCTGAAGCAGACATCTTTTTGCTTTCAACTTTATTAAGGTATAACTAACAAAATTGTATGTTTTTGGAGTGTATAAAGTATAAAATGTATACATTGTGAAATAATTAAGCTAATTATCACATCCTCACGTATTTAATGCGAGTATGTGTGTGTGTGATAGCATTTAAGATCTATTCTCTTAGTAAATTTCAAGTATATAATAGTATTATTAACTATGGTAACTATTATGAAGATTAGATCCTCTTAAGATATTCATCTTATAAATGAAAGTTTGTACCCTTTAACCAACATCATCTCATCTCTACTACCTCCCAAACCCTCGCAACTGCAATTACTCTGTTTCTATAGTTTCCACCTCTTAAGATAACTTGTGTAAGTGAGAACATACAGTATTTGTCATTTTTGTGACTTACTTTACTTTGTATGATGTCTTTAAGGTTCTTACATGTGTCAAAAATGGCAGAATTTTCTTCTATTTTATGGATGATAATATTCCATTGTATACATCTATGCCACATTTTCTTTAGCCAGTCATCTCTCAATAGATACTCAGGTTGTTGCCATGTCTTGATTATTGTAAATAATGCTGCAGTGAACATGGGAGTACAGATATCTCTTCAACATACTGATTTTAATTTCTTTGGATATATACCCAGGAGTCAGATTGCTAGAACATTTGATACTTATTTTTAAATTTTTTGAAGAGACTGTTTTCTATCAAGGCTATAGAAATTTACATTCTCAGTAACAGTAAATAAAAATTTCCCTTTCTCCGCATCCTCACCAACATTTATCTTTTAAAATTATGTAATTATTTTATTTTATTTTCATTTTATTAATAAAGATATCTCTCATGCAGAATAATTCAAAATGATTTATTTATAATAGATATTTTACTCTCAAAGAGGTTGAGTGTAACTTCCTACTCCTTAAATTGAGTTATACCTAGTGACTTCAGAAGTCTAAGAAAAACTATATTATTTCTTTCTCTTTGTATATTTATTTACTTATTTAACTGACATATAAAATTATATTTATGTATTAGGTAGAACATGTTGTTTTGAAATAATGTATACATTGTGGAACAGCTCAATTGAACTATTAATAGCATATATGGTATCTCACATATCTTTTTTCAGCGAGAACAGTGTATATTGTTATTCACTTTAAAATATGAAGGAAAGTAAGATAGCATAGTTCAAGAGGGAAGTCTTTGTTAGCTCAGAGTTGTTTAAAAAGATTCCTTGTTCCATGTCACCAACTATAGCCCATGGGTCAAACCTAGTCAGCCACACCTTCATGAATGGCTTTTGAGCTATGAATTGTTTTCACAATTTTGAATAGTTGTACAAAATTCAAAAGTGGAATGATATTTTCTGACACATTAATGTTTTACAAAATTCATAAAATTGAGTGGTTGTGACAGAAACCACAAAGCTAACAGTTTCTATCTAGCCTGTTACAGAAAAAGAGTGCTGACTACTCTAGAACATGGTGTAGCCCTGTATGAGCACCAAATAATTAGAAACCACTTGCTGTTTATCCCAGTCCTTTGCAGATCCTTCTTCCCCTCTGGTATTACTACTGGACCTGTCCCATGGCTTTGTGACTTACTTTACCTGGAAAGACTATGATACAGAGTGAAGTGTTATCTACTTCCAAAATGCGTAATATAATAGTGATACTATTTCCAGTAAACATAGTAATATAGAGATTCTAATGTAGAAGAAGTCACAGTGATACCATTTTACCATCTATTTAGGAATATCCAGATGAAATAATCACTTTGGAAGACTATCTGTCAATATCTATGATACTTATGCCAACTGAGTATCTACTGAAAACGATTCCACTCCTGGGTGTATGCCTCAAATTTATAAATTTATATTTCTACCAAAAGATATTTACAAGAAACTTCAGAGAACTTTGGTCATGGGGGACAAAATTTGGAATAAACCAAATGCCTATCAAAAATGGAATATATAAAGAATTTTTAAATGCAATACTACATGTGAATAATAAGAAAAATACTACTGTTACAGCAAATACCATAATAAATAACAGAAGTCAAAAAATATGTCTATATGATGCAACTTATATAAAATTGTCAACAGACAAAACTAATCTAAGATAATAGAAGTCCAAATAGTGGTTACTTATGGGAGAGTATGACTGGGAGGAATATTGGAAATATTCTCTATGTGGATATAATTAGTGCTGCTACGTACACACATGCATACACGTACATATGTGTGTATTTATTCTTTGGAATGTATACTTAACATTTGTGTATTTTACTGTTTGTATGTTGTCCCAAAATTTAAGAATGAAGGAAATTCAGGCAACCCAGTATAATTGAGTCTTTGTTAGTCCAGAGTTGTTTAAAAGTCTCTTTTGATAAAAACAAAAACAAAAAAAACAGAAAACCTAAATAAACAAAAGATCATCCTTAGATATTTGGTTTCAGTCTCCCAAAAAAAGCATGTTTCAACATTGATTCATTTTGTTTCATATTCTTTTACAGACAGAATTCTATGGAGAGACAGTAACTTTAGTCATTGGGCAAATCTGAGAACATACAGTGTAAAAAGTGTGTGCAGCTAGTATAGTGTCCCCAGGGGAAAAGGGTATATAAAAGAAGACTTGCTGAATGAATTGTATAGTCTTTTTATCTTCTGAAACCATGGAATAATTTTGACATGAAGACTAGAATATAATTGCAAACGTAATTAGAAAAATGGTTTCAAGAACTGTTTGAAGAACCATTTCAAGTTCTTTGTTTTCAATTATCCTCAATTTTGGTTTTCCTATCTTCTAAAATGAAACACATCAGCAGCATTGCTAATAAGTATAATTCTTAGAAATCAGAAAAAATGGCAAAATACACTATCATGCGTGCCATTGCAATTAAAATACTTTTCTTAATGAATGCTTATATGTTATAAGTGCTGTCTTTTCTCAAGGGATCCCTTATACAATAAAGTTCCTGTGCTCAGACAAATTCAGACATTTTGTTAGACATCATTTTGCTGACATTTACTGACATTTGACCCATAATGCTTCCCTTTAGGAGAAGATAGGATACAACCTGTGCTTGCTCTTCTGGAACCCTTTATCCTCTAACTTAATTTAAGGGGTTTATTTGGAATGTATATATGTGTGTGTATATATATATATATGTATATGTATATGTGTGTATATATGTATATATATACACCCATATATTAATTAAAAAAAAACAGAAAACCTAAATAAACAAAAGAACATTCTTAGATATTTGGTTTCAGTCTCCCAAAAAAAGCATGTTTCAGTATTGATTCATATATATGTGTATATGTACATGCACACACATATGTATATATATGTATATATGCACATAGACACGCGCGCGCGCGCGCGCGCACACACACACACACACACACACACACACACACACACACACATTTTATGTCTCACTCTGTCGCCCAGGCTAGAGTGCAATCTCAGCTCACCGAAACCTCCACCTCCCAGTTCAAGTGGTTCTCCTGCCTCAGCCTCATCAGTGGCTGGGATTACAGGCATGTGCCACCACACCTGGCTAATTTTTTGTATTTTTAGTAGAGATGGGTTTTCACCATGTTAGCCAGGCTGGTCTTGAACTCCTGACCTCAGGTGATCTGCCTGCCTCGGCCTCCCACATTGCTGGGATTACAGGCATGAGCCACCGCACCCAGCCAAGGCTATCTTTTTAGTTAAGACAGTAAAACAATCATGAGCCCAGGCTTATTAGTGAAATCAACAAAGTGAACTTTAAGAAATCTGTACAGTATATAATAATTCTTTCTGAATTGCTCTTGTGAATTAAGAATAAAACAATTTGGCTACTCTAAAAAAAATTGTTAAATCGGCGAGCTTAAACTACTTTAAGGGCAAGAACAAGTCTTATTGTCAAAACAAATAATTTACAGAAAAAGAAAATCAAGAAAACATCTTAAGGGATAATATTATAAAAGCATTTAAATATTTTATTTATCTGGACTTTGTTTTACAAAAAATCTGCCCTCTGTTGTGAGAGCTTGCAATGAGTAAGGATGCTTTAGTAATCTTTTTCTCTTTTCCTTTTTTAAAAATCTAGTTTTTCTGCTAGACGCAGAACTGTTTCTGGAGAAAGACATTAAATCATGCTGCTGGCTCTGCCCCATTATTTTATATACTCATAATGAAACTGGAAATATGTTCAAATAGAAATTTATATGTTAGCGCTAAATAACTTCAAACTCAGTGTGTTTCTTCAAGGATGAACTAAGTGTTCAATACAGGTTTTGCTTAATAGTCAAGCAGAAGCACACTGAAAATCCTTAAAGAGTAGGAAAGAGCTGAGACTTTCTACAGTTTTCAACACGGTAAAGTTTTAGTAATGACAAAACATTTCTATTAAACATGTTGCTTTTCCCCCAGCATTGCACTGACCAAAAATTTTTTGGTAGGTAAAACTGAGCAACAGAAAAATA
The DNA here is from genome assembly GCF_000001405.40 of Homo sapiens. Lineage (NCBI taxonomy): Eukaryota > Metazoa > Chordata > Mammalia > Primates > Hominidae > Homo > Homo sapiens. Next base: position 119,153,640 of record NC_000007.14, read on the forward strand.
TCAGTGATAGCCCTGCGTAATAAATGAAAAACAAGACAAAGGTGCCCTAAGAGATGATGTAAATACAGCATTACATAATATTTAATCTACTACAGATACGCAGTAGCAAATGTATGAAGTTAAAATTAACAGGCTCCAGGCTGGGAAACATTCATTGTCTTCCTACTAATGATTCCCTAATGGACAGCTTCAGTGCACGATGTGGTGTGTTTTCACATAGAATCATTTTACCACAGACTGACTTTCTTGCCCAGTCTAATTTGCAGAAGGGATAAAAATACTTGGAAGTGAGACGTTTAGAGAAAAAAAAAAGTTTTTTTTAACAGAGTAATTTTGTAAGATACCACTATATATGGATCCTACACATTCACATGTTTATCATGTGTGAAGTGGAATGATCTATTAACTGCATATTTCAATTCAAATTGTTGAAAGATTCTGAGATGATGCTCACAGTTGATTAATAATAAAATCCTATTCTCTAGGTAGATATAAGTCAGTAGTCCAAATAAAAGTTCTGAAAGTAAACATTCCTCTTAGAGAAACGTACAAGAGCAATTTACAGAATCTTATGGTATATGGGATTTTGAACATGACTTGTTTGGACCAATAGGAGTGAACATCCTAATAGAGGCTTTGAGGGAAGAACTTTGACACCGTGCCAAAGGGCTCACTTAATGTAATACAATTTTCTTTAAAGGCTATTTTGAGTATCTGGATATAAGAACCCATCCTTATTTTTACTTGAGGCATTAACATTGAGAAAGTGTTGGTCTCTTCCACAGGTAGAATTTTACAGTAGAAAGCTGGAAAATTGCTTTTATTGATACCTATTGGTTTTTGTTTTTCATAGAGCTTTTCTAAGTTCCAGTAAGACTGAAATTAATTTAATACATTAAAATGTTTGTTATGGAAAACTCTGAGTATTTATGAAGTGTTGGTAAATCTCTAATCATGGCTACTTGCATCTGATTGGTTAGACTTTCAAACTGAACCCATAGAGAAAACGCTATCATAGTAAAATGTCCCATATAATCAGGTGTGTTTCATACATACATTTATGAAGAAATAAATTGACATGTGTGAATCTATTGTAGAGTAACCATTTTACTTTAGATTTCCAAGATCTTATAGTGATTTAAGATGAGATTTCTAGCACTTATAGTATGAAATTTCTGCTATTCAAAATTTGTAATAATTTCATTCATATTGTGATATACATGAAATCATGTAATATATAATTAATAAAGTGAAATATGTAAAAGTTATATTCCTGTGCAATTCCTGAAATATAATAGATGAATTTTAGGAGTTAGCACAATTTTTGACTGCATAAATGCCTTAAGTATTACAAGTGTTTATTTCCTGTTCACTACATCAAAATCAGATGAATCTCCATTATTCAACACTTGGGTAATAATGACTATTTGCAATAAGTTTTTGAAAGAAAAATAATGGACTTCTTTTCCAATGAATTAATTTGGATTGCTGTTAGAATCTCTAGGATTTTGTTTTATGTAAGAAACAAATGATTGTCTAGACTCACATTGTATGCTTTAATGCAATTAAAAATAATATTTTGCATCCTTTATTTGACCTATAAAGTAAAGAGAAAAAAAGGAAAAATAGCAGAGCATATATTTCTGATCATACAGAAAAAGTGCATCTTTCTTTTATATTACAAATATAGTCTAATAAAATAAAGTCAACTTTATTATTTTCACTGAATATCCTACTGGAATAACAGTCTATGAGCTATATCCTCCAATTATATTTGATTATAATATTTGCATATTGTCATATATAGATTTTTTAGAAAATTCATTAGTAGGAAAATGTGAGTTCTTGTGCTATATGTTTTTAAATTTTCTCCAGTGTTTTCACTTCCATTAACCTATTATACTAATTTGCTGCATCGATGTGATAATGTACACCAATAGTTCTCAACATTAAAAGAAAAATAGAATTATATGAGAAATTTTAAAACCTACCAACACCTGGTCCCATCCCAGATATTCTGATTAAGTTAAGAAGAGACATCCCCCAGGAACTGTGAAACAAATTTATGAGAAAAAGCAAACAACCCCATTAAAAAGTGAGCAAAGGATATAAACAGACACTTTTTAAAAGACAAACATGCAGCCAACAATCATATGTAAAAAAAGCTTAACATCACTGATTATTAGAGAAATGCAAGTCAAAACCACAATGAGATACCATCTCACACCAGTCAGAATGGTTATTATTTAAAAGTGAAGAAATAACAGATGTTGGTGTGAGGTTGCAGAGAAAAAGAAACACTTATACACTGTTGGTGGGAGTGTAAATTACTTTAACCATTGTAGAAGGCAGTGTGGCAACTCCTCAAAAACCTAAAGACAGAAATAACATCTGACCCAGTGATCTAATTGCCACGTATATATCCAAATTAATATAAATTATTATAAAGACAAATGTATGCACACGTACGTTCATTGCAGCACTATTCACAATAGCAATGACATGTAATCAACCTCAGTGCCCATCAGTGTAGACCAGATAAAGAAAATGTGGTACATACACACCATGAAATACTATACAGCGATGAAAACGAATGAAATCATGTCCTTTGCAGAGACATGAATGGAGCTGGAGACCATTATCCTTAGCAAAATAAGGCAGGAACAGAAAACCAAATACCACATGTTCTCACTTATAAATGGGAGCTAAATGATGAGAACACATGGACATGTAGAGGGGAACAACACACACTGGGGCCTCTCAGAGTGGAGGGTGGGAGGAGAAAGAGGATAAGAAAAAAAACTAATGGGTACTAGGCTTAATACCTAACTAATAAAATAATCTGTACAACAAACCCCCAGGACACAAGTTTACCTGTCTAACAAATCTGCAAATGTAACCCTCAAAAAGTTTAAAAAATATTTTAAAAGAGGACCAAAGAAACCAAATTCTCAAGTTGATTCTAATGTATATCCAGGTTTTGGAGTTATTATTGTATAGAACTCAGGTTGAGCATAATAATTTTATACAATGTATCATTTTAAATAAACTCATTTAATATGCCTTGTGTTACATAACATATATCATTTCCCCGTCTTCATTCATAAACAGAGAAAGTTTAAAAAGTAAATTAAAAAGGTGTTCCTATTTCCTATTCTCTAGAGTCCTGAGCTTTAGTTTTGACATTCATATGTATGTAAAATATGCATTCTTTACACTTTAATTAGCTCTTTTTGTTTTTCTATAATTGCAGTTTGCTAGATTTCCATCAGATTGCTAGGTCCTATTCTAAGGGAGAGTTATCCCAGCATCAGGTGTAATATAACAGCTTAGAATTAAGCCTCAAGAGAATGCAAAAGGCTGGTTTACTGGCTTCTGTATAATGTGGATACCAGAATCTTGACTTCTATAACAGTGATTTTGTTTTAAATTTCGTGATTTTTATTTTTAATTGGGGTTTACTACATTTGAAAAACAGCACTTTGTCAAAGTGGCCCAACTCAAAAATTATAGGTATGCCACAAAAACACTGTGGATTAAGTTCTAGACAACCTCGATAAAGAAATAACACAATAAAGTGAGTCACACAACTTTTTTGGTTACCCAATGCATATCAAAGTTATGCTTACAATATACTGTAGTCTATTAAGTGTTAAATAGCATAATGTCTATAAAAACAATGTATAAACTTTCATTTAACAATATTTTATTGCTAAAAGAACATAGTAAATAATTGCCTGAGCCTTGGAAGTGTCATAATAATTTTGCTGCTAGAGAGTCTTGCCTCAAGGCTGATGGCTGCTGACCGACCAATGTGGTCATTTCTGTAATTTGAGGTGGCTGTGTCAATTTCTTAAAATAAAACAGCAATGAAGTGGGCCACATCAATTGACTTTTCCATTAAAGATATCTCTGGAGCATGTAAAACTGTTTGATAGTATTTTGAGAATCAAAACATGTCCATATCTCATAGGCTGAAAGCTAGCCAAACAGCAAGCCATGTTGTAAATGAAATGAAAACTTACTGAAGGTAATTAAAAGTGCTACACCAATGAACACACAAATGACAAGAAAGCAAAACTGATTGCCACTGCTTTATCAACTAAGTTTATGTAGTGTTCTAAATCTTTTTTTTTTTTTGTCATTTTAACAATTTTCACAGCATCTTCACCAGGAGTAGATTCCTTCTCAAGAAACCAATTTTTCTTCTCATCAATAAGTAATAACTGCTCATTCATTCAAGTTTTATCATAAGACTGTAACAATTCAGTACACTTCTAATACTGGTTATCTTGCTAGTTCCCCCAAATCTGCAGTTACTTCCTCCACTGAAGTCGTGAACCCCTCAAAGTCATCCATGAAGGTTAGACGCAACTTTTTCCAAATTCTTGTTAATGTGGGTATTTTGACCTCCTCTCATAAATCACAGATGTTCTTAATGGCATATCAAATGGTGAATTTTTTTCCAGAAGGTTTGCAACTTATTTTGCCCAGATATATCAGGGGAATCATTATTTAAGGTAGCAGCAGTAGCCTCATGAAATGTATTTTTTAAATAGTAAGACTTAAAAATTCAAATTTCTCTTGATTCATGGGCTACAGAGTGAATGTTGTACTAGCAGGCATGAAAACAACATTATCTCCTTGAACATCTCCATCAGAGGACTTAGATGACTAGGTACATGGTCAATGAGCAGTAATAGTTTAGAAAGAAATCTGTTTCTGACACACGGATTTCAACATTGCACTTAGAATATTCAGTAAACCATGCTGTAAACAGATGTGCTGTTATCCAGGTTTTGTTATTCCATTTCTAGAGCACAGTCAGAGTACAATTTGCACAATTTTAATAATTAAAGTCACCAACTGCATTAGCTACTAACACACGAGTTAGGCTGTCCTTTGAAACTTTGAAGCCAGGCATTGACTTCTGCTGTCTAGCTAAGAAAGTCCTAGATGGCATCTTCTTCGTCAAATAGAAGGCTGCATCATCTACATTAAAAATAGGTTGTTTACTGTAGCCATGTTCATGAATGATCTTAGCTAGACTTCTGGGTAACTTCCTGCTGCTTCTATGTCAGCACTCACTGTTTGTGTTATGGAGATGGTTTCTTTCCTTAACCCTATAAATATACCTCTGGTAACTTCACACACTTTTCTCCCGCAGCTTTCATACCTCTCTCACCCTTCATAGAGTTAAAAGCCTTGTTCTGAATTAGGCTTTGACTCAAGAGAATGTTGTAACTTTTTTGGTCTTCTATTCAGACCAGTAAAACATTCTTCATATCAGTGATAAATTTTGTTTTCTTGTCATTTGTGTGTTCACTTGTGTAGCACTTTTAATTTCCTTCAATAACTTTCCTTTGCATTTACAACTTGGCTTACTATTTCTCACAAGAGACCTAGCTTTCAACCTATCTTGGCTTTCAACATACCTTCCTCAATAAGCTCAATCATTTGTAATTTTTAATTTAAAGTGAAACATGGAAATCTTCCTTCCTTCCCTCCTTACAAACCATTGTATTGTTACTAATTAGCCTATTTTTTCCATAAGTTATTGGGGTACAGTTGGTATTTGGTTACTTTAGTGGTCATTTGTGAGATTTGGATACAATTATCACCCAAGAAGTATACATTGCACCATATTTGTAGTCTTTTATACCTCACCCGCCTCCCATTCTTTCCCCCAAGTCCCCAAAGTCCATTGCATCATTCTTATGTCTTTGGGTCCTCATAGCTTAGCTCCCACATACCAGTGAGAACATATGATATTAGGTTTTCCATTCCTGAGTTACTTCACTTAAAATAATAGTCTCCAATCTCATCCAAGTCACTGCAAATGCTGTTAATTCATTCCTTTTTATGGCTGCATAGTACTCCATTGTGTGTGTGTATACACACATACACACACACACACACACACACACACATATCACAGTTTCTTTATCCACTCTTTAATTGATGGGCATTTGGGTTGGTTCCAGAATTTTGCAATTGTGAATTGTGCTGCTATAAACATACACATGAAAGTATCTTTTTCAAATAATGACTGCTTTTCCTCTGGGTAGATACCCAGTAGTGGGATTGCTGGATCAAATGATAGTTCCACTTTTAGTTCTTTAGAGAATCTCCACACTATTTTCCATAGTGGCTGTACTATTTTACATTCCCACTAGCAGTGTAGAAGTGTTGCCTGTTCACCACATCCACATCAACATTTACTGTTTTTTGATTTTTTGATTATGGCCATTCTTGCAGGAGTAAGATAGTGTCACATTGTGGTTTTGATTTGCTTTTCCCTGATCATTAGTGATATTGAGCATTTTTCATGTTTTTTGGCCATTTGTATGTCTTCTTTTGATAATTGCCTATTCATGTTCTTAGCCCACTTTTTGATGGGATTGTATTTTTCTTACTGGTTTGTTTGAGTTTGTTGTAGATTCTGGATATTAGTACTTTGTTGGATATATAAATTATGAAGATTTTCTCCCACTCTTTGGGTTTTCTGTTTGCTGACTGTTCCTTTTGCTGTGGAAAAGCTCTTTAGTTTAATTAGGTACCAGCTACTTATCTTTATTTTTATTGCATTTGCTTTTGGGTTCTTGGTCATGAAATCCTTGCCTAAGCCAATGTCTAGAAGGGTTTTTCCAATGTTACCTTCCAGAATTTTTACAGTTTCAAGTCTTAGGTTTAAATCCTTAATCTATCTGGAGTTGATTTTTATATAAGGTGAGAGATGAGGATCCAGTTTCATTTTCCTACAGGTGACTAGCCAATTATCCCAGCACCATTTGTTGAAAAGGGTGTCCTTTCCCCACTTAATGATTTGGTTTGCTTTGTCGAAGATCAGTTGACTGTAAGTATTTGGCTTTATTTCTGGGTTCTCTATTCTTTTGCATTGGTCTATGTGCCTATTTTTATACTAGCACCATGCTGTTTTGATGACTATGGCCTTATAGTATAGTTTGAAATCAGGTAGTGTGATGCCTCCAGATTTATTCGTTTTGCTTAGACTTGTTTTGCCTATGTAGGCTATTTTTTAGTTCCATGTGAATTTTAGAATTTTTTTTTTCTAATTCTGTGAAGAATGATGGTGGTATTTTGATGGGACTTGCATTGAATTTGTAGATTGCTTTTGTCAGTGTGGTCATTTTTGCAACATTGATTCTACCCTTCCATGAGCATGAGATGTGTTTCCATTTGTTTGTTTTTGTCATCTATGATTTCTTTCAGCAATTTGCAGTTTTCCTTGTAGAGGACTTTCAACACCTTTGTTAGGTATATTTCTAAGTATTTTTTTGTTTTGTAGCTATTGTAAAAGGGGTTGAGTTCTTGATTATCTGCTTGGACACTGTTGGTGTATAGAAGACCAACAGATTTGTGTACATTAATCTTGTATCTGGAAACTTTGCCAAATTCTTTTATCAGTTCTAGGAGCTTTCTGGAGGAGTCCTTAGGATTTTCAAGGTAAACGATCATATTGTCAGGAAACAGTGACAATTTGACTTCCTCTTTACCAATTTATATGCCATTTATTTTTTTCTCTTGTCCTATTGCTCTGGCTAGGACTTCTAGTACTATGTTGAAGAGGAGTGATGACGTGAACATTCTTATCTTGTTCCAGTTCTCAGAGGGAATGCTTTCAAGTTTTCCCCATTCAGTATTATGTTGGCTGTGGGTTTGTCATAGGTGGCTTTTATTACATTAAGGTATGTTCCTTGTATGCTGATTTTGCTGAGAGTTTTAATCTTAAAGGGATGATGGATTTTGTCAAATTTTAATTTTTTTTTTCGGGGAATAGGGACACCTGAGGAAAGGAAGGGATACAAAATAATGGCCAGCCAGAGGAACAATCAGAACACACTCATTTATAGAGTATTTTTGCCATATTATATGGTGCTGTTCATGACACCCCATAACAATTACAATAGTAACATTAAATATCACAGACCACAGATAATTATAACAGATAAAAAATGTTGGAAATATTGCAAGAATTATCAAAATGTGACACAGAGACACAAAGTGAACACATGCTATTGAAAAGATGATGCCAGTAGACTTGATCAATGGAGGGCTGCCACCAACTTTCCATTTATTAAAAAAAAAAGCAATATCTGCAAATTTAAAATACAGTGAAGTACAATAAAACAAGGTATGCATATACATTAAACAATTAACTAAACACACAAGAACATTGAATTCTACATAATAGATTTTAATTTCCTAATCCCTAAAGATCTATTAAATAAATGCATGCAATTTCACTATACCACTTACTACTAGAATAAGTTTACATATATAATGTGTTCACTATGTACAAAGATTTGTTCTTAATTCAGTAAATATATTAACTCTTTTCCCCTTTATTGATACGTAGTAGTTTTACATATTTATTGAGTACATGTGAGTCTTTCTTACATACGTAGAATGCATAATGATCAAGTCAAGGCATTTGGAATATCCATTATTTTAAGTATCATTTTTATATGTTTATATCATTTCAAGTCCTCCTCTCTTTCAGTTCTTTACAAATATACATAATATTGTTGCTAAGTATAGTCACTCTATTCTGCTGTCAAATATTAGAATTCATTTTTCTGTTTAATTCTCTATTTCTACCTATAATGAACCTCTCTTTATCCTTACGCTTGCCTTCACCCACCCTTCCCACTCTCTGGTATCTGTTATTCTATTTTCTATGTCCATGAGGTCAAGATTTTTAGCTTACACAATGAGTAAGAGCATAAAATACTTTTACGTCTGTTCCTGCTTATTTGACTTAACAGAATGACCTCTGATGCCCTCTGTGCAGTTGCAAATGACATGATTTCTTTTCGTCATTTCTTTTCTTTTCTCTTTCTTTTTTTTTTTTTTTTTGAGATAGGGTCTTGTCTTGCTCTGTTGCACATGCTGGAGAGCAGTGGCACATTTGTGGCTCACTGCAGCCTCTACCTGCCAGGCTACAGGGATTCTCCCATCTCAGCCTCCTGAGTAGCTGGGACTGCAGGTGTGCATCACCATGCCTGGTTATTATTTTCATTTTTATTTTATTTTATTTTATTTTTGTACAGATGGGTTTTCACCATGTTGCCAGACTGGTCTCAACCTCCTGGGCTCAAGCCATCTGCCCTCCTTGGCCTCCCATAGTGCTAGGATTACAGTTGTTAGACATTGCACCTGGCCAACATTATTTCATTCTTTTACATGGCCAAATAATATTCCATTGTGTATATATACATATCAAATTTTATTTATCCATTCATGTATTGGTAAGATACTTAGTGTGATTCTCTATCTTGGCTATTGTGAATAATGCTGTGATACACATGAAAATGCAGGTTATAATTTTGATACACTGATGTTTTTTCCTTTGGGTAGGAGATACCTAGTAATTAGATTGCTGGATCATATGGTAGTTTTATTTTCATTTTCTTTTTTTAGAAATCTAGACACTTTTTTCCATAGTGGATGCACTAATTTACATTTATACCAACAATGTATGGGTTCCTTTTTTCTGCATCCTTGACAGTGTTTGGGTTTGTTTTTTGTTGTTGTTGTTTTTTTTTTTAGCTTTATAATAACCATCCAGAGGTAAGATAATATCTCATGGTGGTTTTTGATTTGCGCTTTCCTGATGATTAGTGATGTTGAAAATGTTTTCGTATGCATGCTGGGTATTTGGATGTCTTTTTTCGGGGGGCAATGTCTACTCATGTTCTTTGCCCATTTTTAATAGAAACATTATGTTTTGTTTTGTTTTTAGTGTCGAATTTTTTGAATTCCTTGCATATTATAGATATTACTACCCTTTCAGATGAGTAATTTTCAAATATTTTCTCCCATTCATAAGGTTGTCTCTTCACTCAGTTGATTGTTTCTTTTGACATGCAAAGCTTTTTTATTTTCATATACTACTGTTTGTCTATTTTTTGCTTGGTTGCCTGTACCTTTTTCGGTCTTAAACATAAAAATATTTGCCTAGACCCTTGTACTGAAGAGTTTTCCTTATTTTAATCCAGTAGTTTTATAGTTTTGGGTCCTACATTTTAGTTTTTAACCCATTTGAATTGACTTTTGTATATGGTGGCAGGTAGGGATCCAGTCTCATTCTACTGTCTAAGGTTATCTGGTCTTTCCAGCATCATTTATTAAAAAGTGTGTTTTTTTTCTGCAGTGTATGTCCTTGGAAGCTTTGCTGAAGATCAATGACTATATTTTGATGTTCCTTATTTTGTTCCATTAGTTTATGTGTTTATTGTTATACAGATATTATGCTGTGCTGTTTTAGTTACTGTAGCCTTGTAATATGGTTTAAAGTCACATGATGTGATGTTTCTAGTTTTTCTTTTTGCTCAGGACAGCTTCGGCCATTCAAGATCATTTTTGGGGCCATACGAATTTTAGAATTTTTTTTCTCTTTCTTTAAAAAATAATGTTGGTATTTTGCTAGGAATTGCATTGAATCTGTCTAATGCTTTGGACAGTTGTTCATTTTAACAATATTGATTCATGCACTCCATTAAGAGAGGATTGGCTTTTCATTGTTTTGTGTCTTCTTCCATTACCTTCATCAGTGTTTCATAGTTTTTCTTGCAGAGATCTCTCATTTCCTGGGTTAAATTTATTCCTAGGTATTATTTTTTGGTAGCTATTGTAAGTAGGATTACCTTCTTAATTTCTATTTTAGCTATATTATTATCAGTTTATAGTAACATTACTATTTTTGTATATTGATTTTGTATCCTGCAACTTTACCTATTTCTTTAATCAGTTCTAAGGGGTTTTTGGTAGACTGTTTGGTTTTTCTAAATATAATTTCATGTCATCTGCAAATATGGGAAATTTGTCTTTTTTTTCCAATTTGAATGCCATTTATTTCTTTTTCTTGCCTGATCTCTCTGGCTAGGACTTTTAGTACTGTGTTGAATAGAAGTGGTGAAAGTGGGCGTTCTTTTCTTGTTGCAGTTCTTAGATGAAAGGCTTTCAACTTTTCCTCAGTCAATATATTGTTAACTGTGGGTTTGTCACATATAACTTTTAGTATTTTATGGTATGTATCTTCTATGTTTAGTTTGTTGAGAGTTTTTGTCATTAAGTGGTGTAAATTTTGTCAAATGCTTTTTCTGTGTCTATTGAGAAATAATAGAGTTTTTGTCCTTCATTCTATTGATGTGATGTGTTACATTGATCAGTTTGCATATGTTGAACCATTCTTTCATCTGAGACATTGATCCTGCTTATAAGTGGTGTATTATCTTTTGGGTGTGCTGTTGAATTTGATTTGCTAGTATCTTTTTGAGGATTTTTTGTGTGTGTCCATGTTCATGATGGCTATTTGTCTGTAATTGTCTTTTGTGTTTGTATCCTTGTCTGGTTTTCTGTCAGGGTAATGCTGGTTTTGTAGGATAAGTTAGGAATAGTTCTCTCCATTTTAATTTTTCGGAATGCTTTTGGGAGGATTGATATTAGTTTCTGTTTATATGTTTGGTAGAATTTGGCTTTGAATCCACCCATTTCTGCACTTTTTTTTTCATTGAAGGGCTTTTGAATACTGATTTAATCTTGCTGTTCCATATTGGTCACAGTTTTTAATTTCTTCTTGATTCAATATTAATAGATCATATTTTTCCAGGAATTTATTCCTTTTCTAATTTGTAAGCATATATTTGTTTGTTAAAATTGTTTTTTTTAATCTCTGTTGTATCCGTTATAATGTCTTTTTTTTTTTTTGACAGTTTTATATCGTCTCCCAGGCTGGATTGCGGTGGCACAATCTTGGCACACTGTCACCTCCACCTCCCAGGTTCAAGCAGTTCTCATGCCTCAGCCTGCCAAGTAGCTGGGACTACAGGTGCGTGCTACCATGTTCAGCTAATTTTTGTATTTTTTTAGTAGAGATGGGGTTTCCCATGTTGGCCAGGCTGGTCTCAAACTCCTGACATAATGTGATCCACCCGCCTTAGCCTCTCAAAGCGCTGGGATTACAGGCCTGAGCCACCATGCCCGGCCAAGTTATGATGTCTTATTTTTCAAATATGATTTTATTTATTTGGATATTTTCTCTTATTTTCTTCATTACACCAGTTAGCAGTTTATCAATTTTGTTTATTTTTTGAAGAACCAGCTTTTTATTTCATTGATTCTTTGTAATTTTGTTGTTGTTATTCTCTATTTCATTTATTTTTGCACTGATCTTTATTATCTCTCCTCTTTTACTAGTTTGGGTTTGGTTTGTTCTTGTTTTTCTAGTTCCTTGAAGTGCATTGGATTATATATTTGAAACATTTCTGTTTTTTCGATGTAGGCATTGCTATTACATTCCTTCTTAGCACTGCTTTTGCTGTTTCTCATAGGCTTTGGTATGTTTTATATCTATTTTCATTTGTCTCCACAAATTGTTTGATATCCATTTTAATTTCTTCATGGACCCATTGGTCATTGAGGATCATGTTGTATTTCCATGTATTTGTATAGTTTCCAAAGTTTCTGTTGATATTGATTTTTCATTTTATTCCATTGTGATCTGAGAGGATACTTAATATGATTTGAATTTTTTTAATTGGTTCAGAATTCTTTTGTGGCCTAACATTTTGTCAATTATGTACAATGTTCTATATAATAATGAGAAAAAGGTGTATCCTGCAGTTGTTTGATAAAATGTTCTGCAAAAGTCTGTCAGGTCCATTTGGAAATCACTGTTTAAGTCCAATATTTCTTTGTTGATTTTATTCTAAATGACCTGTCTAATGCTGAGAGTGGGGTATTGAAGTCTCTCACTATTATTGAATTGGAGTTTATCCATTTCTTTAAATCTAGTAATATTTGCCTTATGGATTTGGGTGCTCTAGTATGGGGTGCATGTATATTTTGAATTATAATATGCTTGATGTAGCAATTTCTTTATCATTATATAATGATATAATGATCTTTTTTGTTCTTTTTTACTACTTCGACTTAAAATATGATTCAGTTTATACATACATAGCTACTCCTGCTTGCTTTTGGTTTTCCTTTGCATGGAATATATTTTTCCATTTCTTTGCTTTCAGTCTTTATGTATATTTATAAGTAAAGTGTGTTTCTTTGTAGATATATATTTTTTCTTTAATCCACTCACCTATTCTATATTATTTAGGTGGAAAATTTAATCTGTTTACATTTAAGGTATTTATACCTATGTGAGATTTTATTCATATTATATTGTTAATTATTTTGTAGTTGTTTGGTATATTATTTGTTGGTTTTGTTTTCTCTCTCTTATTGTTTATCTGTTTGGTTTGCTGGTTTTCTGTCATGGAACCAATGGAACCCTTTCTTTTCCTCATTTGTGCATTTGAATTACCAGTGACTTTTATAGTTTAGTGTGCTTTCGTGATTATACTGTCATCCTTTCACCTCCAGGTTTAGGACTCCGTTGAGCATTTCTTATTAGGCCTGTTTTAGTGGTGGTGAATTCCTTCAGCATTTGCTTCTCTGGAAAAGACTATTTCTCCATTTATAAAAAGTTTTTTCCTGGCTATATTATTCTTGGGTGACCATTTTATTCTTTTATTTTAATTTCAGTCCTGTTTATACATCATCCCATTCTCTCCTGGTCTGTGAAATTTCTGCTGAGAAGTTCACTGCTACTTTGATAAGGACTTTAAAAAATAGGTGACTAAATGCTTTCCATTGCAGTTTCTAGAATTTTCTTTTTATCATTGACTTTATACAGTGACTATAATGTGCTGTGAAAAAGACCTTATTGCATTGTATCTGTGAAATGCAGGGACTCTTGTACCTGAATTGAGAAGTTTTCATTTGTTGTTTTGTTTAATAAGTTATTCTTTCTTCACCTTGGGGGATAGCAACAATTCATACATTTGGTCACTTTATGTGTCCTATATATCACAAAGGCTTTGTTCATTGTTCTTTTTTATTTATTTTTGTCTAACTGGATTATTTGTAAAGGCTTGTCTTTATGTTCTGAGATTCTTTTATTCTGCTTCATCTACTCTATTATTAAAGCTTTCAAGTGTATTTCGTATTTCATTCAGTAAACTCTTCAGTTCCAGAATTACCATTTGGTTCTTTCTTTATGATACCTATCTCTTTGGTTAATATATTATTCATATCCTAATTTTTTAAATTTTCTTTGGATTATTCTTCAGAACATTCTTGTGTCTCATTGAGCTTTTTTAGTCACATAATTTTAATTATTTTTTCTGCGATTTTTGTGGATTGTTAAAAACTGGGATCTGTTGCTAGGGAATTATTGTGTTCCTTTAGAGGTGTCAAATTTTCTTTCTTTTTAATGTTTACTGTGTTCTTTCATTGATATCTGCTCATCTGGTTTAATAATGAACTCTTGATTATTTGAGTTTGTTTTCATAGAGGAGGACGTTTTTCTTATGTTGTATCAATTGTATTGGTTGAGTAAGGCCCTTTGGATTTGATTCTGGTGGCTGCAATGGTATAGTCTCTGCATGATTTTTCTGCTGTAAACAGTATCAGTAATATCTGTTATTTTCTCAGTGGTTTAGAGTGCAGTTATTAGTGGAGGCTAGGGTAAAGCTTTGCTAGGCACAAGAAAGCCAGGTGAGCCAGTGTTTGGGCCCCAGGAATGGCAGTGTTGGGCTGAGCGTACCTGTTCTTAGGCCTCAAGGCAGCATTCACTGGAACAGGTCTTAGCAGGGCCAGGTGGACCAACTCTTGGACATTCAGGTGGCTTTCTCAGATGCTGGTAGTACCAGTGATGGGCAAACCAAGTGAGTGGGTTTTTGGGTCACTGGGCATCCAGCATGGTGTGGTCAATGACAGTAGCAGTGGCAGGGTGACCCTCTGGGTCTGAAGCAGTGGGTACTGTTGTTGGCAGTGGCTGCAATGTGGGATCACCACCTATAGATGAAGACATGCAGCTTTCAGATTCACCTGTTATTTGTGAGAGCAGGGCCATACAAAAGGAGGGAGGGACGTTGACCTTCACATGCAAGCCTGATAATGAAGGCCACTCTGCCCCCAACCCTAGTGAGCACATGCTTGCCACTAGCAGCCCCAAACAGGCAGACCTCTGACTCATCCATCCCGGCCTTTGCCTGCATCTACAGAGGCTGCAGCTGCAGTGGTGTGCAGAGGGGGAGATGTATTTTTGTTCTCTATGCACAAGCCCAAGCCCAGCAGTTGCCTCACTAGTGGGGATGGCATCACTGTCCACAGCCCCAGATAGTCAGTTCTCAGATTCACCCAGCTGGATTCCCGGTAGCAGCAACTGCTGCTGCAGTGTGCAAAGTAGGAAAGGAACCTCATGCTCAGCTTGTGAGTTGGAGTACAGGGTTTACACTACTACTGGGAGTGGAGTCACTTCTCACAGCCATAAACAAGGAGCCTTCAGGCTCTGGAAAGCATGCACTTTGGTTTCCTTTTTCCCAGGGGCCACATTTTTGGTGAGCTGCACCATCCTTTCCCTGGGAATTAGTATTCTTTGTGTTCTAGAGTACTGGGGACTCCACAGCATCACTGGGTTCAGCCAGCACTGTGCTACTGTAGCCCTCTGGGTGGACACTGGGAGATATTAGTGGAGACTCCTAGCATGTGGAGATATAGGAGTTGTTGTTACCAGGGCAGGATGCAGTCCCATGACAGCTGTACTCACACAGTGGTACAGTGCTGCAGCTGCTTAGGTCTCAGAGGTGTGAGTGACCCAAAGCAAGTTCCCTTCCTAGTTCAATACCCTCATGGGGTCTCCAGATCATTGCCCACTCTAGCGTCGGGGTTCATGTGAGTAGAAAGGCTCTTCCATGGTTCAGATTGCAGCAGCCCATGGTAGGGATGTGGACCACTGAGGGTCTCTCACTTACTTTTTCCTGCAATAGTGAATCCCTCTGGGTTCACAGCCAATCTCAGCCAAGACAGTCACTCACTTTCATATTCTTCTGTGTCATAGGTGTTTCCTGTGACTTCTCTATTGGACTCTAGCATTCTATCCTAGATGTTGTATTCAAGATGTGATTATTTATCATTTTGGCTCTTTTTTCTGGAGAAGGCAAGTGTCTGATGTCTCTAGTCAGCCATCTAGAGCCCCTTAATTCTTGCAATACACAGGTCAGTCCTATGGTTTGAGTACTATTATTACTTTCATTTTTTTGGAAGAGGAAAATTAAATGTGGAGAAGCTAAGTTGAATGAGTTAACATAGCTGCTAAGTGATAGAGCCTGTATTAGAAGCCTGCCAATCAGGATTTAAGGTCCTTGTTTTATTCTCCACATGGTTTTATCTTTGTTTAATCTTTATTCCAAATATATGTAGTCTCGTTAATAAACCTGTCACAGACAAGGAGAATAAGTTTTAGTGAAATTAAATAACTTTTCTAAATTAAGCAACTACAGAGTTGTGATAACATATAAGTGACTCCAAATTCTATTACACTTTTTGCCAGACCAGAATTTATGATGTACATCTTTTTATAAATGCATGTTTACGATTCAGTAATCTTAATTACATTTTCCAAAGGTAACAACTTTTGGATATTAAGATTACTTCTATGATATGATTCCTTGACAAAATATGCATACAGTTTCTGTTTCTTTGCTCTTAAGTTGAATCGGGAAATTCCTTGAAAAGTAGTTTTGGTGATTTAAAAAATTAGCAAAAAATACAGCCATTAGCTCATGCATTTTAAAAATCGAAACAGCCTGAAGTCAAATGTTCCTGGGATCACTCCTTCATTATGTATTCTTAATTTTGACAAGATGAATTTTTACGAATGTTTAAAAATCCCAAAGGTTTTTCTAGGTTCAACTTACATTAGGTAGAATTTTTCTGAATTGCTTATCAGATAATACTTGTAAAATTAGAAACATATGTTTGCTTTGATTTTATGTCACTTTGTTTTCAAAGATAAAAGATAAAACTCTGCTACCTGTGGAATTAATTGCTTTTGGTGTAACAAATAATGTATGTTAAATAATAAATGTCCTCTGAGAATGTACTAAAAAAGGAATAAAAACTCATCTGAATTTCACATTGCTCTTAAGGTATTATTTCCCATGAATATTACAGTAGGCCTACATTCAAATAGTTCTCTGCTCCTATATTATGTATATGAAGTTAAAATGTCATGTATCTATTTATTTTAATATATATCCATATATATGACATATATGAAAGTCTATTATATTGATAATTCTTTTATGTTTTCATTATAAAAGAATTCATGTTATATATACCTAGTGTTGCATAACAAATATTATTTTTACTTTTAATTTTAATAATTATATAAGAATTCAAGAAAATGTCAAAGAAAAAAGAGATTCAGATATTTTACCAATGAAGATTTCATGTTGTGTTAGATCATCCAGAATAAATTCTGATCATGTGGTCAAAATACATTTCAAGACATACCACTTTTCATTTCAACAATGTGGCTTTGCTGTTTGACATATTTTATTTATTTATAGAGTGTGCAGATTGAAAAGTGTAATTATCAATTAAAAATTGTAAAATCAAAGACAGGAAGTTAAACTATGAAGTCCCCTTCTGTAGAGCTTATTTTCACCACAGTAGGAACATTTTATGAGGATATAAAAAAGGTGTATCTATAACTACCTTCCTATGCCATCTACAAAGCAGATAATCTCTCTCTATTCTATTCTATTCTATTCTATTCTATTCTATTCTATTCTATTCTATTCTTCCTTTTCCTCTCCTACTTTTATCAATCCTTCCTCTGCCTTCTCCGGTATTTTCTTCCTTCTTTAAAAAGCTTCCTCAAACACAGATCTCATCTTACATTTTCATGCTCTAATTTCTCTGACATGTTTATGTTTTAAAACTTCAGTGAGTAATTCTGAGAACTTATATTATGCTGGGAAATATTAGGAGCATCATAAAATAATTCCAATAAATGAATGAAGTAACAATGACCATAGGGTAAACGTGGTGTCTCTGTGTATCTGCTTCCTACTCTGCTAGGAATTACCCCACCAGAATTTGTATCTCTTAAATAGAGAATGGTCATTCTCTCTACCCATACCCAAGCCAGGAATCTGGAATAATCTTCAAGTCCACCGTCTCCTTCAGGTCTATATAACATCAAAATTCATTTATTGTTATTTTTAAATTCTTAGTGCCTCTTGCCCATATTCTCATTATTGATGAGAATATGCTTTGCACAGAACAAATATTCCAAAAACTTTGTCAAATTTAGTTCCAAAAATCTGTCAAATTGGTAAGCATAAAGAGAGCAATTTTATGACAGTAAAAACTTAAGTATAAAGTGAAGGAATTAAAAACTTGTTTTAAAATTTGGTGATAGGAAATAGTTGAAACAAAGAACGGAGACAAAAAATTGAGAGAAAATGAGGAAATACATTTTTGTTTACTAAGTTTTGGTTTTGGAGGTGTAAATCTTCAGTCAACAAACATTTATGGGGGATTTGATTGTGACAGGCTCTGTTCAGGGCTCTGTATCACAGGCACATTTCTAACGGAGAAGCACAGAGAAATACAGAAACATACACACTCACGGCCCCAAAGAATTGCCTCCTCGTTTATCTTTCAAATCCAGAAGGCATCACGTTCAAAACTGTCTGCTATAGCTCTATGAATATTACAGCACTTTTGGCACTCTAATGTACTCCCCAGACATTTCACCTGCCTTCTAGCAATAGTGCTTCCAGGATTGATAGAGAAGAAAAATATACCGCCTTGTTTTATGTCCTCTGTTTTGTCATTTATGGGCCCCCCTATAGTCCTAAAATATATGTCAGATAATTTTAGGGTGAGTAACTTATCTCTTACAGAATAAGATAGGGAACTAAAACAGTCACTTTTCTATAAAAATGATTTTTGGGTTTTCATGTCCATACCTCCAACCCTAATAATTTTCCAGGCTTTATGTTGCGTTGCTCTAGGGTACCTTCTGTAGAGTATACCATTTTAACACTCAATAAAAATTAATTGTTTTATGGCCTATGCCAAATGCAGTATGTAAAAAGATGGAGAAAACAGACTTGACCCCTGCTGTCATGGAGCTAGCAGTTTCATTGCTCAAGAAACACACAAAAGCAAAATGTACTTCATGAAGATTTCCTGAATCCCTATGACAGAGATAATTTTTCTTATTATTGGTTGCTCTTCATGTGTACTTATGTTAAGATATTTAATAACCTAACTTGCTGTTGATGTATTTATATGTTAATTATTCCTTGTAGACTGTTTACTAGTAGATGGCTATACCTTGCACATACTAAGTGTGTAATAATACTAATTTAAAATTTCATACCATTCATATATTTCATTGTATAAAATAAACCACGATTCACCTTTAAATTACTAAGAAATTAATGAGTTTGGTTCTCAGAAATATTCTCAACTCTAGTAAAAGCAAGTTCATAAATATTCACAGCAAGATATTTCAAAGTTTTTTGCTAAGTTACAATCTTATATTTTTGAGTGAACACAAGGAACAGAAATACAGACCTTAATAATACCCTTATCTTACAGTGGGATAATCAAAAACAGACAGGAGAGTGTTGGATTCTAGTATCATTGGTTGTTAATACATTGTCCCTAAAACTTGAAGAAAGTGTTGTGGGACTACTGCATATTTAAGAGTCTGGCTCATTTATAGTGGAAAATTTCACCCATTGAGCAGTGACCATCAAACAATGTATTTTTACTGTTCAGAAATATGACAGAATTTTGCCACTTCCAAATTACAGCCCTTCCCATAGAGACTATAGACATATTCCTTAATAATTAAGTCATGTTCTACAAAGTTATCTGTGAAAAAAGTTTATGGATTGAGTTATAGGAAAATATGTA